>NC_000012.12:46248006-46399521 GCF_000001405.40 Homo sapiens
GCCTGCCATACAAGAGCTCCTGAAGGAAGCACTAAACATGGAAAGGAACAACCAGTACCAGCCACTGCAAAAACATGCCAAATTGTAAAGACCATCGATGCTGTGAAGAAACTACATCAATTAACGAGCAAAATAACCAACTAACATCATAATGACAGGATCAAACTCACACATAACAATATTAACCTTACATGTAAATGGGCTAAATGCCCCAATTAAAAGACACAGACTGGCAAATTGGATAAAGACTCAAGACCCGTAATTGTGCTGTATTCAAGAGACCCATCTCACGTGCAAAGACACACATAAGCTCAAAATATAGGGATGGAGGAAGATCTACCAAGCAAATGGAAAGCAAAAAAAAGTAGGGGTTGCAATCCTAGTCTCTGATAAAACAGACTTTAAATGAACAAAGATCAAAAGAGACAAAGAAGGCCATAATGGTAAAGGGATCAATTCAACAAGAAGAGCTAACTATCCTAAATATATATGCACCCAATACAGGAGCACCCAGACTCATAAAGCAAGTCCTTAGAGACCTGCAAAGAGACTTAGACTCCCACACAATAATAATGGGAGGCTTTAACACCCATTAGACAGATCAACGAGACAGAAGGTTAACAAGGATATCCAAGACTTGAACTCATCTTTGCACCAAGTGGACCTAATAGATATCTACAGAACTCTCCACCCCAAATCAACAAAATATACATTCTTCTCAGCACTACATCGCACTTATTCCAAAACTGACCACATAGTTGGAAGTAAAGCACTCCTCAGCAAATGTAAAAGAACGGAAATCACAACAAACTGTCTCTCAGACCACAGTGCAATCAAATTAGAACTCAGGATTCAGAAACTCACTCAAGGCCAGGTGCGATGGCTCACGCCTGTAATCTCAGCACTTTGGGAGGCCGAGGCGGGCAGATCACGAGTTCAGGAGATCAAGACCATCCTGGCTAACACATTGAAACCCCGTCTCTACTAAAAATACAAAAAATTAACCAGGTGCGGTGGCGGGTGCCTGTAGTCCCAGCTACTTGGGAGGCTCAGGCAGGAGAATCGCTTGAACCTGGGAGGCAGAGTTTGCAGTGAGCCAAGATCGTGCCACTGCACTCCAGACAGGGTGATAGAGTGAGACTCCGCCTCAAAAAAAAAAAAAAAAAAAAGAAACTCACTCAAAACCGCACAACTACATGGAAACTGAGCAACCTGCTCCTGAATGACTACTGGGTAAATAACAAAATGAAGGCACAAATAAATATGTTCTTTGAAGCCAATGAGAACAAAGACACATCATACCAGAATCTCTGGGACACATTTAAACCAGTGTGTAGAGGGAAATTTATAGCACTAAATGCCCACAAGAGAAAGCAGGAAAGAGCTAGAAACAACACCCTAACATCACAATTAGAGGAACTAGAGAAGCAAAAGCAAACAAATTCAAAAGCTAGCAGAAGGTAAGAAATAACTAAGATCGGAGCAGAATTGAAGGAGATAGAGATACAAAAAAACCCTTCAAAAAATCAATGAATCCTGGAGCTGGTTTTTTGAAAAGATCATCACAATTGATAGACCACTAGCAAGACTAATAAAGAAGAAAAGAGAGAAGAATCAAATAGATGCAATAAAAAATGATAAAGGGGATATCACCACCAATCCCACAGAAATACAAACTACCATCAGAGAATACTATAAACACCTCTACACAGATAAACCAGAAAAATCTAGGAAAAATGGCTGAATTCCTGGGCACATACACCCTCTCAACACTAAACCAGGAAGAAGTGGAATCTCTGAATAGACCAATAACAGGCTGTGAAATTGAGGCAATAATTAATAGCCTACCAAGTAAAAGAAGTCCAGGACCAGACAGATTCACAGACGAACTCTACCAGAGGTACAAAGAGGAGCTGGTACCATTCCTCCTGAAACTATTCTAATTAATGGAAAAAGAGGGAATCCTCCCTAACTCATTTTATGAGGCCCTCATCATCTGATACCAAAGCCTGGTAGACACACAACAAAAAAAGAGAATTTTAGGCCAATATCCCTGATGAACATTGATGTGAAAATCCTCAATAAAATACTGGCAAATAAAATCCAGGAGCACATCAAAAGCCTTATCCACCACAATCAAATTGACTTCATCTCTGGGATGCAAGGTTGGTTCAACATACGCAAATCAATAAACCTAATCCATCACATAAACAGAACCAACCACAAAAACCACATGATTATCTCAATAGATGCAGAAAAGGCCTTCGACAAAATTCAACAGCGCTTCAGGCTAAAAACTCTCCATCAACTGGGTATTGATGGAACGTTTCTCAAAATAACAAGAGCTATTTATGACAAACCCACAGCCAATATCATACCAAATGGGCACAAACTGGAAGCATTCCCTTTGAAAACTGGCACAAGACAGGGATGCCCGCTCTTACCACTCCTATTCAACACAGTGTTGGAAGTTCTGGCCAGGGCAATCAGGCAAGAGAAAGAAATAAAGTGTATTCAATTAGGAAAAGACAAAGTCAAACTGTCCCTATTTGCAGATGACATGATTGTATATTTAGAAAACCCCTTCATCTTAGCCCAAAATCTCCTTAAGCTGATAAGCAACTTCAGCAAAGTATCAGGATACAAAATCAATGTGCAAAAATCACAACCATTCCTATAAACCAATAACAGACAGACAAACAGAGAGCCAAATCATGAGTGAACTCCCATTCACAATTGCTACAAAGAGAATAAAATACCTAGGAATCCAACTTACAAGGGATGTGAAGGACCTCTTCAAGGAGAACTACAAACTACTGCTCAACGAAATAAAAGAGGACACAAACAAATGGACTAACATTCCATGCTCATGGATAGGAAGAATTGATATTGTGTAAATGGCCATACTGCCCAAGGTAATGTATAGATTCAATGCCATCCTCATCAAGCTACCAATGACTTTCTTCACAGAATTGGAAAAAAAACTACTTTAAAGTTCATATGGAACCAAAAAAGAGCCCACATTGCCAAGACAATCTTAAGCAAAAAGAACAAAGCTGGAGGCATCATGCTACCTGACTTCAAACTATGCTACAAGGCTACAGTAATCAAAACAGCATGGTACTGGTACCAAAACAGATATATGGACCAATGGAACAGAACAGAGGCCTCAGAATTAACACTACACATCTACAACCATCTGATCTTTGACAAACCTGACAAAAGCAAGAAATGGGGAAAGGATTCACTATTTAATAAATGGTGCTGGGAAAACTGACTAGCCATGTGTAGAAAGCTGAAACTGGATCCCTTCTTGACACCTTATACAAAAATTAATTCAAGATGGATTAAAGACCTAAGTGTTAGACCTGAAACCATAAAAACCCTAGAAGAAAGCCTAGGTAATACCATTCAGGACATAGGCATGGGCAAGGACTTCATGACTAAAACACCAAAAGCAATGGCAACAAAAGCCAAAATTGACAAATGGGATCTAATTAAACTAAAGAGCTTCAGCACAGCAAAAGAAACTACCATCAGAGTGAACAGGCAACCTACAGAATGGGAGAAAATCTACCCATCTGACAAAGGGCTCATATCCAGAATCTACAAAGAACTTAAATAAATTTTCAAGAAAAAAACAAACAACCCCAGCAAAGAGTGGGCAAAGGATATGAACAGACACTTCTCAAAAAAGACATTTATGGAGCCAACAGACACATGGAAAAAATGCTCATTATCACTGGTCATCAGAGAAATGCAAATCAAAACCACAATGAGATACCATCTCACTCCAGTTAGAATGGCGGTCATTTAAAAAGTCAGGAAACAACAGAGGCTGGAGAGGATGTGGAGAAATAGGAATGCTTTTACACTCTTGGTGGGAGTGTAAATTAGTTCAACCATTGTGGAAGACAGTGTGGCAATTCCTCAAGGATCTAGAACCAGAAATACCATTTGACCCAGCAATCCCATTACTGGGTATATACCCAAAGGATTATAAATCTTGCTACTATAAAGACACATGCACACGTATGTTTATTGTGGCACTATTCACAATAGGAAACACTTGGAACCAACCCAAATGTCCATCGATGATAGACTGGATTAAGAAAATGTGGCACATATACACCATGGAATACTATGCAGCCATAAAAAAGGATGAGTTCATGTCCTTTGAAGGGACATGAATGAAGCTGGAAACCATCATTCTCAGCAAACTCTCACAAGGACAGAAAATCAAACACTGCATGTTCTCACTCATAGGTGGCATTGAACAATGAGAACAGTTGGACACAGGGAGGGGAACATCACACACCGGGGCCTGTCACAGGGTGGGGGCCTGGGGGAGGGATAGCATTACGAGAAATACCCAATGTAAATGACGAATTAATGGGTGCAGCAAACCAACATGGCACATGTATATATATGTAACAAACCTGCACGTTGTGCACATGTACCCTAGAACTATAATATATATACCCTAGAAGTATAATAAAATATATATATTCATTCTTTATTAATAAATAAATGCTAATTAATTTATTTAAAAATAATTACATGAATGAATTAATTAATATAGATTTGGTATAAATGTTAGAAAATACAATTTTTCAAATGGAATAAAACAACCAAAAAGAAAAAAGTTCACCTGTTATCTCAGCAAGCAGAGATGATCACTCATATATATATATAATTGTTGTATGGCCTTCCATGGTTTTTCTATGCACATAGAAATGTTCTTTCTATGTTCGTTGCAGCATTATTCACAATAGCCAAGATATGGAAACAATCTAAGTGCCCATGGATGTGAATGGATAAGAAACACAGGCACATATAAAATAAAATGTTATTCAACCTTAAAAAAGAAGGGGATCCTCTCATTTGCCACAACCTGGATGAATCTGGAGGACATAATGGTAAGTAAAACAATCCAGAAACAGAAAGAAAAATACTGCATGATCTCATGTATACATGGTATCTTTTTTTGAAAAAAAAAAAAAAAAAGTCTGATACACAGACATAGAGAATAAAACAGTTGTTATAAAGAGTTTGGGGAGGAAATGTGGAGATGTAGGTCAAAGGATATGAAGTTGCAGATGTGTAGGATGAATAAGTCTAGGGAGCAAATGTACAACATGAGGACTGTAGTTAATACAGTTTGAGTATTTCTTATCAAAAATGTTTGGGACCAGAAGTGTTACAAGAAAGGGGTCCTGATCTGGACCCCAAAAGAGGGTTCTTGGATCTCAGGAAAGAAAGAATTCAGGGCAAGCCCAAGGTGCAAAGCAGAAGCAAGATTATTAAGAAAGTAAAGGAATAAAAGAATGGCTACTCCACAGACAGAGCGGCCCCAAGGGCTGCTGGTTGCCCATTTTTATGGTTATTTGTTGATGATATGCTAAACAAAGTGGATTATTCATGCCTCCCCTTTTTAGACCATATAGGGCAACTTCCAGATGTTGCCATGGCATTTGTAAACTGTCATGGCACTGGTGAGAGTGTAGCAGTGAGGACGACCAGAGGTCACTCTCATCACCATCTTGGTTTTGGTGGGTTTTAGCCAGCTTCTTTACTGCAACCTGTTTTATCATTAAGGTCTTTATGACCTGTACTTTGTGCTAACCTCCTATCTCATTCTGTGACTTAGAATGCTTTAACCATCTGGAAATGCAGCTCAGTGGCTCTCAGCCTCATTTTACTCAGCTCCTATTTAAAATGGAGTTGCTCTGGTTCACATGCCTCTGACATTTCCCCCCTCCCTTTTATAAGAGAACCCTTAATCCTAAGGGCTGCACAGGGATGAAAATCCATCTTTAGTAACTTCTTCAGGCTGAATAGGGGTGATGGTATTCCTACCTAACTATGAGAATATCTTGTGTTCAGGGTAGAGACGCGCTCAGTCAGAAAGCATCAGTATGGTGAGGGACATTTATGACTCTTAAGTTCTGACAAAAAGTAATATTTGGAAGATGAATAAGTGTTCAATTTAAGAAAACATTGAGTAAGCTTATCCTTATGCCTATACAGAGTGCCATAGCAATGTATTCCACAAGAGTAAAGCAAAATAAGTAAAAATTATCTCAAGTAAACTAAATTATAAGAAGTTCCAAATTATAAGGGCAACTGTTGGAACCAAGCTGATATGACATTGCTAGATGATTCCAATATGTCCAGAATTGGAATATTGATCCAGATTTTTACATTACTCATCCCTCTTGTTTCTTCTGAGCAGCAGCTAGAGATCACTGGTTGGTTCACAGGAATAAATTGCAGCAACTAACTTAAAAGCAACTGATGAGACTAGAATTTAATAACAAGTGTAGCATAATTCTTGAAACACAGTTTCTCTCTCCAGTTTCCCATTTTTTACTAAAGACAAATCATAGTAACACTGATTTGCTTTATTATACTTGGCCTGATTTTTTGTATAAAGTGCAGCAAGAATAATTATTTTTCACATAAGCCTTTTGTAATTTCGCTTTGATGGAACTCTGCTCCATAGAAGGAATCTCAGATAAGACTTTTTAGAACCAAGCCTTGCAATGAGTTTGAACCCTCAAATACCTATGAGTTGGGTAAATTTCTCTCCTTTTGAGGTCTGTGTAGGCAAGTATGAGGCCAATTCCCCAAAGGGATTTGCTTGGCTTTACAAGTCAGGTTTGATTCCTTAAAGGAAAGCATGCTGTTCCAGTCAAAGCCTTGGTAAAATAACCAGTTTCTCCAATTGTGTCCTGTTACAAAAGAAAACAGATTCTTATTGCACTTATGCAAATAACTATATTGCTAAAAGTTGAGAATACTCACAGATAGTTTCCAGATTCTGGGGAAATCAGGTAGAGAGAAACAAACATGCTCCAAATTTTGTTCAGAGGAGTATACTTTACATAATTGCTACAAGCTGTAAATAGCTCAAAAGTTTCCTTGACTCTGAAAAACAAAACAAAGGGTCAGCAACATTTTAAGCAAAGTCAAAAAGATTACTTTAGTCTTCCATTGTTTCGGTTAATTTAGTTAACCCCTGTTCTTGATATTCATGAACATTTCACCTCTCTGTGAGAGTTCTGAAAGTTTTTCTTCTATTCTAATGTCACAATTTCCAAAGTTATCAGAAGCTTGCATTTTAGAACATCTGTCAAAGTCCTATTGTTGATTATAAAACCACCTTTTAAAGAGGATTAAAACAAGAAAACGATTGTCTGTGGATAACAAAATCTTTTAGGACAGCCACTATTAAAGCCACGATTGACTAGGAAATTTGGGTTACCTCTGTGCACACAGTAATTTTATGTAACAATTATAATTATTAATAACATACAGATCATGAGAAGGTTTTTCCTCTAAGAAAAACCTGTTGTGCTTTTACTCCAATGTCTAACTTATGGAAAAAATGAATAATACCCCTTTAGTTTTAGCCAATGTCCACATACAGAATCCTTTTTTACAAGATTAGTTTTTTACACTTTCCATAACTTGCTTAAACCTTCAGCTTTATTCTATCTAACTGAAAACAATTCTTTAATCCTTTAATTTGGGCAAGAAAAATCCACATTCCCATACCTTCTTATAATCTTTCACCAAAAACACATTTCACTTTTCTTACACACTTTGCATGTAGAACTGTTCTTTCAGTAGTCTTAATTATATGTTACAATGCTAACTCTTTTACTTTTGATGAAAACCTTGGTAAGTTTGGGATTTTAATTATGTACTAGGTGTGCAGCCTAGGATAGCACACAGAAGTGCAGATAAGGACTGACTTTTTCCAGCATAGCTACGGGGTGTGGCTAACTCCACATGTCCCTGGCCTTATCTAGAATCTAATGCTCCAAAGTAGCCAAAGTAGGTAAACTGAACAATTTTCAAAAGTCAAAGGGCTGGGTGTGGTGGCTCAAGCCTGTAATCCCACCACTTTGGGAGGCCGAGGCGGGTGGATCACAAGGTCAGGAGATCAAGACCATCCTGGCTAACATGGTGAAAGAAACCCTGTCTCTACTAAAAATACAAAAAATTAGCTGGGCATGGTGGCAGGCGCCTGTAGTCCAGCTACTTGGGAGGCTGAGGCAGGAGAATGGCGTGAACCTAGGAGGCAGAGCTTACAGTGAATCGAGATCACGCCACTGCACTCCAGCCTGGGCAACAGAGAGAGGTTCTATCTCAAAAAAAAAAAAAAAAAAAAAGTCAAAGCAGCAGTTTATGACCTTAAGGCATTTAGCAAACTTAATATCTGACCTGCATAATTTAGACCAAATGTCTTTATTTTACCAGTAATCTTTAAAACTGTTTTTATTTCCCAAAGATTACTTAAGTCACATGAACTAAAAGGCATTACACTTTTTACTTATGTGACAAAATATTTGATTTAAGCTTATTATTATTAAAGCAATTAATTAAAATTCTTTTATATTACACACACATACTACATATAAATACATAGACAAACAGAAGACAAAGGATGATCCCTTAAGCTGGGAATTCAACCCCGAACCCGGGCTGCCATTGTGATGGCAGAGACCAAGAGAAAGTACTGCCACGTGGTTGCAAGGTCAAGCTCCCAAGGACATGACTGACCGGAAGGAAACCTCATCCAGTTTGCGCGCGCGCGCGCACACACACACACACACACACACAGAGAGAGAGAGAGAGAGAGAGAGACCAGAAGTCTGGCTGGTAAGAAATTCTTACCCTTTGGCCAGCATGCCAGGCTTCTGGGTTCCCTCTCCCTGAGACCTGGCTGGCTGCATCACAGCCCTGGGGGCCAAGCTGCAACACAAAGGAAAATTATCTTTTTCCATCTGGCCAGAACAAAATATGTGTGACAAAACATAGACATTACCACTGTGCTTAACACCCAATATCAAACTGGCAAGGCTCAAACTTGCCCCCATCATTGTTAATCCAACCTCCAACCAAGAGTTTCAACATGTGGTGTCTGGGTAAGATGGTCACCCTGAGTAATAGAAAAGATAATAAAGGGAAAGGAGAGAGAGAAAAGCATTGCCTGTGGCAGGGTGGAGAAGGCGAAATGCTCAGGGAGGCCAGAAAAAGACCCACCCATTGCAGCACCACTGAAAAGTTCAGGCGGCCACTTGTCAGTCAAGAAGTGATCTTTTCCAGCAGTCCCATCAGCTCTCAAGTTTCCCCTTTTAGGGAGGAAAAAGCATTCCGTGTCCCAAGATTCTGTACATGCCTAATCCTGTCACCCACAGCCATCAGCAGAGACTGCCAGGCAGATTAATCCAAAGAGAATAGCAGTTAACAGGCTGTAGTACCAAGCCCATTCTTAGCCAAGAGGGATTTTATGAGAAGGACTTTACTGAGAGGGACTTCTAACCCCCTAAATCTTGGAAGGATTTCTAACACTCCTAATTTGGGCCTCTAACCCATTTGGGTGTCCTTGTCTTTTATCAAGAGGAGGCTTTAACCCTCTCTGTCTTAGGAGAAACTCTAACTCTCCTAAGTTGGGCCTCTAACCCAATCCCATTCTTTACCCAGGTACCCCACCACTTACCCCAAGTCGGCTGATCAATCTATTGCCTTTGGGTTGGGAGGCTTCTTCGGTATTGTACCTTCCGGGTTTGGCAGAAAAATGTTACCAGACCCCACCACTTACTCAAAGTTAGCTTTTGAGTTGGGGGTTTCCTCACTAGTTGCTTCTGCGGTGGCCAGAAAGATGTCACAGGACCCCACCACTTACCCAAAGCTAGCCTTTGGATCAGGGGTTTCCTCACAATAGTCGCTTCCACAGTCGCCAGAAAGATGTTACAAGACCCCAACACTTACTGCGGGTTTCTGCACTATAGCCCCTTCGTGGTTGCCAGAAAGATGTTACAGGAAAAGGGTCCCAATCCAGACCCCAGAAGATGGGGTTCTTAGATCTCGCACAAGAAAAAATTCAGGGTGAGTCCATAGAGTAAAGCGAAATGGCTACGCCATAGACAGAGCAGCTTCGAGGGCTGCTGGTTGCTGATTATGATTATTTCTTGATGATTTGCTAAACAAGGGGTGAATTATTCATGCTTCCCATTTTTAGACCATATAGGGTTCCTGACATTGCCATGGCATTTGTAAGCTGTCATGGTGCTGGTGGGAGTGTAGCAGTGAGGACGACCAGAGGTCACTCTCATCATCATCTTGGTTTTGGTGGGTTTTAGCCATCTTCTTTACTGCAACCTGTTTTATCATTAAGGTCTTTACAACCTGTACTTTGTGCTAACCTCTTATCTCATTCTGTGACTTAGAATGCTTTAACCATCTGGAAACGCAGCTCAGTGGCTCTCAGCCTCATTTTACTCAGCTCCTATTTAAGATGGAGTTGCTCTGGTTCACATGCCTCTGACAGAAGTAGTTCAGATTTTTGATTTTTTGGATTTTGGAATATTTGCATACATATTATGAGATATCCTGGGGACGAGACCCAAGTGCAAACTTGAAATTCATTTGTTTCATATACACCTTACAAACATACCCTAAAGGCAATTTTACATAATATTTTAAATAATTTTGTGCATAAGACAAAGTTTTCACTGCATTTTGACTGTGACCTATCACAGGAGGTTAGATGTAAAATGTTCTACTTGGGCATCGTGTCAGTGCTCAGAGTTTTAAGTTTTGGACTTTTGTGGGTTTTGGACTTTTTAAAATGTGTTTATTTATTTATTTATTGAGATGAAATCTCACTCTGTCACCCAGGCTGGAGTGTAGTGATGAGATCTCTGCTCACTGCAACCTCCGCCTCCCAGATTCAAGAGAATCTCCTGCTTCGGCCTCCCGAGTACCTGGAATTACAGGCACATGCCACCATGCCCAGCTAATTTTTATATTTTCAGTGGAGATGGGGTTTCACTATGTTGGCCAGGCTGGTCTTGAACTCCTAACCTTAGATGATCCACCTAACTCAACCTCCCAAAGTGCTGGGATTACAGGCGTGAGCCACTGTGCCCAGCCAGGGTTTTGGATTTTTGGATTAGGGATGCTCAACCTGTAATATTGTATTATATATATGGGATTTTTGCTAAAAGAGTGGATTCTAGGTGCTCTTGCCACAAAAAAGAAGTGACCACGTGAGATGATGGATATATTAATTTTCTTGACTCTAGTAACCATTTTACCACGCATATGTATACCAAAACATCACGTTGCACACCTTAAATACATATAATTTTTAAAGCGGAGAAAGTGTTAAGCCTAAGGTCAACAATGGTTCTATAATTCCGGGCCAGCTAGTCCCATAACTGACTGTGTCTGTTTACCCACTTGGGGTTCTTGGATCCTCAGGGTTCATAGATGATAGTGATAAGGATCTAAGAACTAACATGGATCTATATTTCAAAAGGCCTCAAACAGGCTAAACAGGTTAACTAAATGGTGAGGTATCCATACTGTTAGCAAGGCTTCATTAACTTGATGTGATAATCCTAAATTTGATTGGCAATTTTATATACCTTTGAGTAATAAAAATGGGAAATGAATTAATATATTAAAGTCAACACTCAAAACTCATTAAATAGTATACTTAATATCTGGACACTGCATTGCATATAATTTATACTTTAATTAAAATAAAAAATTAAAGCCGATCATCAAAATCTTTGAAAATCTGGGGCTTTTGGAAGGTGGGGAATAATAAAAATGGCCTTTGGTAGTGAAAAACCTGGGAAGCTAGTAAGTGGTCTCAGAAAAATAAGTGGTTTTACTCTCTTCTTGCCCAAGACTAATGGTTTAACCTGTGCTTAAGGTCCTGGCTCTTCTGCTAGGACCTTGTTTCTCTACTTCCTCTCTCTGCCTTCCCTTCTTGACATCCATCATCCTCAGAGCTCTTTATCTGGAACATAACTCTGTCTAGAACCTTGAACTATCATCACACCCCTCTCTTTACTGCTAGCAGTCTCTAAACTACTTGCTCCTGCCACCACTCCCCTGAAATCATGCCTGATTAGGAAATTCTGGCTCCACCACTTAGAAGCTGTGTAGCCCCAGGAAAGAAGGTTAACTTCTCTTTGCCTTAGTTTCCTCATCTGTAAAATGGACTTAAAGCAATACCCATCTGATACAGTCATAAAGATTCCATGACTTGGTCCATGTGCAGCACTTAGAACAGCGTCTGGCCCGGGTTTTGTAAATTATTGTGACCATTGTTCCTGTTTTCTGACTTCTCCCAAATAACTCCACACTGCATCCTCCCAAGACCTTCTTGGTCTCCTCTGCCAGATCCCTCCTCCTCCCAACTTTCTGTGTAGAAGTAGCTCTTTGGGCCTCGACTCTTCTTGCTCCACATATTCCAAATTCTTTCCTTTTTAGGGCTTCAGGGCTGTAGTGTCAAGTTTCATTCTACAAAGGCATCTTTCAGATCTTTCTTCCCAGTCTTTTTCACTTTATAAAACTAGAATTCCTTTGCGTTATGAAATAGGATCTCCCTCATAAATACAACTTGATCATGATCATGCCACTTAACATGTCACATGTTTCTTCATCTGTAAAATGAGAGGGCATGAAAGAGAGGTTATCTCTCAGGTTCTTTCCTTCTCAGAAACATTTCCATAAATTCTTTTCAGACTCCTGCTGCCTTCTGGACTGCTCCATTAGGATGTTTATCATTACCTCAGATTCCACATGCCTGAAGCAGAACGCATCACCTGACCTCACATGCCAGCATTCTATTTCTGTTAAAGATATAATGCACCTTCTCCTTGTCACTCAGACTTGAAACTTGAGTATGGCTTTCATACAACCTCATATCTAATCAGTTGCCAAGTCCTGCCAACATTCCTTCACAAAATCCTTTTCCTTTCCCTTATTCCTTACAGTTTCACAGCCTGAACTTTGCCACAGTCACTCTCCGCCACGCTACCTCCTGCTTCTTGCCCTCTCCCACCTATAGAGGCAGATTCTTCCTGAAAAGACAGTCTTGCACATTCCTCTTTCTGCCTTGCCAATCATAACTGTTCCCTCTACAGGATGAGGTCTAATCTCTAGAACCTCAGACAGCTTTCTCTTTAATTTATGCTCCCACTATATTCCTTCTAATTTTCCATTCCTGCAATGGGTCTACTCTTATGCAGTTTTCTGCTTTGTTCACACCATCCCCCTGATCCTGGACACACCCTCTCCACCTTCCCATGAAGCCTATGCTAACTTAAGTATGACCTTTCTTTCAAAGCCCAGCTTGCTTGCTTTTTTAAAAAATTCAAGCCAACTCTTCTGTGATGCCTTTCTCCAATGACCAACGCAGGCATTGCCAAATACCTCCTGGGGGCAGGGAGAGGGACATAATTGTTCCAGTTGAGAACCTGCTTGACTGTTTACCTGTGATGAATTCTTACAGCAGTTTCGTGTAGATTACTCACTGGCTTATAGCAAGGGGGCTCATATTTCAGTAATCTTTTTATTTACAATTTCAATTCCTTGGGGACAAGGACCATACATCTCAAAGGTCTAGTATATGGTGACAGTAAACACATGTTAACAATAAAAATGAGGACTAAATTTAAAAAGAAAGCTATGATCACCTGCCTGCAGACAATATATTCAGTGAGCATCACAAACACCATCTTCCCATGGAAAACAAAACAAAAATGGGAACATGAAGCAATGTGGATAGCCCTACCTCATAGTTTTCATTAAGTTTACCACCTGATCTCCTTTACATTTGATCTGGGCGTGTGGGATTTATGTAAAAATGCATTTAGTATTGTAAAGAACTATATAAACGGAAGGTATTTATCATTACTGTCCCAGCCACTATGCTTGGAATGTTTAAGAATTCTTGGCATGATTTCTAAAAGTCCAGAGAAGGAGTTGTATTAAAGAAGTGGTTCTCAACTGGGGACAATTGTGTCCCTCTCCCTGCCCCCAGGAGGTATTTGGCAATGCCTGGAGACATTTTGGGTTGCAGTAAGTGAGGGGGTGCTGCAGGCATCTAGTTGAGAAAGACCAGGGATGCTGGTAAACATCATACAATGCACAGGACAGCCACACACAACAAAGAGCTGTCTGGCCCCAAATGCCAGTAGTGTGAAGGGCAAGAAGCCCTGTGTTACAGAAGCTCACAGGGGATGAGTATGGACCCCCTCTTTGTGGGGCATGGAGATGAACCGCTAACTTCCTTGGACAAATTGCCCAGTGCATCCTATCTTAACAGGATCCCAAAACCTGCTCTTAATCGTTCCATAATTCCTCTTGTCTTCAAGTTCCCATATGATCTTTTAAATGTCTGTTATCAACATGACCAGCTTATGATGTTGGTAACTAACCTATCTATATCAGAAATTTTGAAACAATTCCAATTTATTCAAGACAGAAAAAATAAACTCTAAAGTTAATGAAGTCAACCTATAACTGGATATAGGAGGACAGACTGTATATTACATTTAAAAAAAAAACACCAAAAGAATTGAATCTTAATTAATTAGAACAGTGAGTGTATATGAGTAGTGTGAATACCAACAAAATTAAAAATATTTCTTGTCAATTGAAAATTAATGGATTTAAATAATTACTAAAAACTCATGCAGTTGAAAACAGCCTGGAATATTTCAGCCCTTGAGAAAAATCTCTTTATTTGCATATATGTTTTTTGTTCTAAAGATATTTCTGATCAAGGATTGCTATTGTACTAAAAAAGATGGATACAGTTTTGTGTGTTTGTTTTTAAGCCCTAGCTAAGTTATGACTCCTAACAAAATACTCAAGGAAAAACAGAAATAATAAGAACTTTAAAGCATCACAAAGTGCTGCATATAAAGAGGATCATTTATAAAAAGAAATCTTAAAAATAGACTTTTATTTGAAAAGAGAAAATGTAATAAAAGACACTATATAATTCAATACCAGATGATGGTTACAGTCTCAGAACAATTCCTTTCTCCTCTCTGGGTCTCTGTCTCCTCACCTTAAAATAAGAAGATTGGATTAATGGCTGCTCTCTCAAAGACCTCTCCCAGTTCTCTGAATTAATGATTCTATACACTATTTCTTAATGAATCACTTCCAAAGATAAGAAGGTGGACTTGTAGACAAATCTCTTGAATAGTTGCCTTTGTAGGCCAATAGGCCTCAGTTCTAACAGGACATTGGAACAAACTGGGGAGCTTTAAAAAAATAAAAGTGATAAGGGGACACTACACACACAACAGTCTCTGACTTAATTGGTATAGGACAGGATCCAAGCATGGTTATTTTAAACGCTCTCCAGAGGAGAGCATTCTTATGTGCAGCCAATGTTAAGATCCCCAGATTGAGAATAAAAGTTAAAACAAAAGAAGCTAGTGCTCAGGTAGGTAAGATAAATGGGCAAAGCAGACTGGGCATAAGGAACTAGAGAACACATGTCCCATCTATTTCCCTCCAACTAGTGGCAGGAATGAGCCTGGTCTTTTTATTTTTATGTTTTTCAATAAATGCCAGAAATCAAAATTCTAAGTGAAATTCTGATATTTAAGAGTTGGCAACTAATTTCAAATAATTTTAAAAGAAAGCGTAAGTCACATAAAATATGCCCACAAGCTTAATTTGGCTCTCTAGCCACCAGTTTGCAACCTAAACAAAACCGGTTCAATAAATTAAACACAGTGTTTTCTCTGTGCTCTGACCTGTCTGTCTCCTGCTCAGAGCCTCTTTCTCCTATACCTTGGTCCATAGCCTATCCCTTTCTTTTTCCTTTCCATTGTCGCTTTCTTTTCCAACCTTCGCCATTCCTAAGAGATGGAAACTGAGATCTACACATTAAATCTTCATGTGGCTCTGGCTGTATCACTGGACAGGCGTCTATGCCTGGGAAAATTCAGGTTATAAACTGTAACCTGAGGCTGTGGCTCCATGATGTCAACAAATGGTTGGTTTAGTAAAATCAGGGGGAAAAGTCAGTCAAGCTCATAATTTCACACTACTAAGACTAAGACTTTGTCAAGCAACATATGGAGGTCCTCATTTAATTTCTGATGTTTGTTTTGTTTTCCTTGCTTTAAATCTAAACCAATGCATATCAAAATCACCCCTGATATTTTCTAAGCTCCCATATTTGGGCTCCATCCCAGGCCAACTAAATCTGAATCTCTGGAGTTGAAGTCTTGGCACTGACAGCTTTTAAAACACCCTAGATGAGTCTAATGTGAAGTCTGCTCTGAGACTCACTAATCTAAAACCATCACCTGACCCTGAAGATTAGCAGCATGCTTAATGCCAGATGACTATCATCTTGAATAGTTTTTTTAAACTTGTTCAAGGACTTTCTCAGCTCTGCTCTCATTGTATCTTCACAACTCTGAGGTACGCAGCACTGATACTATTATTAGCATTGGACAGATGAGAAAATGAGGCATAAAAATGTGAAATGAGTTGCTCAAGGGTACCCAGCTAGTTATTGCCAAAGACACATTGTAACCTCACTTGAAACAGAGTTACTTACTAATAGTAGAGGAATTCAGTGATTGGGAAGGTAACATGGTTAGGGGAACTCCTCTGTTATTAGTAAGGTTATCACTAGAAAACAAATATGTGATCAATTTTCAGAAATAAGTACAACAATATTTTTAAATTTAAAATCTTATTTTAAATCTAGGGTCAGTGTCTTTTTTTAGGTTATTGAAGTTAATCTTTTAATTTTACTTAAAATTTTTTTATTTCAATAGATTTTGGGGTATCAGTGATTTTTGGTGGTTATATAAATGAATTGAAAGTGATGAAATCTGAGACTTTAGTGCACTTGTCATCTGAGTAGTACACATTGTACCCAATCTGTAGCTTTTTATCTGGCATCCTCCCTTCCAACCTCTGGCTTCTGAGTCTCCACAGTCCATTATATTACTCTGTGTGCCTTTGCATACAAGATGTCTTTTTCGAAGTCTGTCACACATTCTTCAAAGTACTTCTGTGCACATACTTCTCCTACCTCCTCACCACCTTTCATAGATGTATATTCTCCCAGAGACTAAAAAGATCCAGGTAGTTTCCATCAAGATATATTTTCAGAAAAGTATTTTTAAAAGATTACATAGTCACAGAATTTCAGAGGTAAAGGGAACTTTACTGATCAACTTTCTCTCCCTCCTCTGGTAGATATGTTTAATTCAATACATATGGAATGCTAACACTATACCAAATACTTCACATTCATTATCTTCATTAAATCTTTACCATCACTCAGTAAAGTGGGTACCACCAACACTACCACCAGCATCATCATTCCCATTTAGCAAAAGAAAAAACTGAGGCTTAGAGATGCCAAACACCTTGCCCAAGATTCCTGGGTGAGTAAGCTGAGGCCTGATATTTATATTTGACTCAGAGCCTAAGCCCCTATTCACCACCTTCCATCACCTGGAGTAACAACAGTCCAAAATGTGAAGGATAAACAAATACTTATGAAAATGCCAGTGAGGTGATCAGTGAACACTTCTCCCAAGAGGTGGAAAAGTGGCATCAGGGATAGGCCATCACAAGTACACAGGATTTCAGTAGGCATTCTGGACTGGAATCCAATCCACACAGATATTGAAGCAGAAAAGTGATAGGGAGGGAATAGGGTGAACTGTGAGAAAGAAAATATCAAGAGAAAAAATTGGAAAGAGATGAGAAGGCAGATTGTGAAGGGTCCTAAGTGTATGGCTAAGGAATTTAGACTGTATTTGTGTGCAATGGAAACCCTCAGAGGTTTTTAAAAGCAAGGTCCTTTAACAAAATGTGAACTGAATTTTAGAAATATAAACCTCATGAAAGAATGGAGATTTAATTAGGGGAGCATAACTTGATATGGAGGAGAGACCAACAGGAAAGCTGTTCCACCTCAGTAACTGGCTGTTTCACTCTTAACCATATGTTGTGCTTGCATTTTTCTCCACCGCCCACTCCCACTGCCCCTAGGTTGTTCAAGGCACCTCTATATCTGTTTCATATGTCTCCAAGTCTAGGTAAGGTGACAGGGACCTGAACTTGGGCAGTGGAAATGGAGACAAGAGGACAAGTGTGAGGGGTATTTTCAAGGGCCTGGTCACTGCTCAAAGTGGGAAGGGCAGTACGAGAAGGAGAAGCAGAGAAGAAAAAGACTCTCATTTTCAAACTTAGGAGAAGGGGAACAGATGAGATATAGAACGGAAGGGATGGCCAATAATATCACAAAGAGATGAACAAGATGGCCTGATCAAGGTCTCAAGGTCTCGATCCAACAAGTATTTATTAAGCAGGTACTATGTGCTGGACATTAGAGGAACAATGAGTAAAATCGGTTTTTGTCCACAAGCATCACCCAGAGTAAAGAAAAGAGTAGCAATAGTCAGATATCAGAAACATGGTGCTCCTTTCATTAAATGGCCTTAATTCATGAAGCATCATAAAAAATATACATAAACAACATACATATAGGTTTAAAGCTCCAAAACACCTTTAAAATCTATTCATCTATCTGTTCAATTATATTACAGTCAAAGAAGAGTGCAATAAGTACTTGCTGTTCCTTCTTCCTGTTCCTTCCGCTGGCCTTCTTCCCTCAATTATGGAAATAGCTGATCCCTTTTCATCATTCGGGTCTGAGGACAAATGTTATACCCTCACACCGCCCCTCCCGGTGAGTCACTCTATTTCAAGCATCCTCCCCCATCACATGATCCTGTTTTATTTCTTCATTGCACTAAGAATACCTGAAATGTATATGCCTACATTTATATAGTCTATTTCCCCCTGAGAACGGAAGCTTCATAGAAGGTGAAACAAATCTTGTTAGTTGCTGCCAGTCGCACAGTAAGCCCTCTGTAGAAAATGTTTATTGGCCACATTTTTTTAAAAAGCGAATAAACCTCAAGATTAAGACCTCAAACCAAACTATTCCAGTTTCCAATTGCTTACAGCGACATACTGAGAAATCGAGTGACTCTCAAGAGAAAGGCCATTTTGAGGCTGGGGTCGAACCAAAATCCAGGGGGTCCACACCAGGTCAGTACCCCGGAATTGGCTGTTTTGCAAGATTTCGGGAGTACCAAATTGGCATGAGACATTTGACAACGAGGCCAGCCATGCACCGAGCTCAGGTTTTATTTCCGTTGTCCTTCTGACGTCAGAAAAAGCACGAGTTGCTGCACAGTTTCTTTTATCAAGGTGACAAATTACACCCTCGCTGGGCCCTGCATTCTGCAAACCATAAATTTATTTTCCTCCTCCCCCTTATATTGAAAAATGTAAAAACCCACTGCAGAGAGGTCAAAACCCCTTCCAAACGCAAATAAATACCGTTTTCTAGCAGAGGCGTCTTTTTTCACTTTTGCTACACACATCACCGCGGATTCGTCCGAGAAAGTACGTGATCCTGGCGGCAGTTAGGTTTCTAACAGAGAACGAGGGTTTGTACAAACCCCGGGTCCGCGCCGCAGAGCAAGACAAAGGACTCTGAATTGTAGCACCACCTTCCCCAGCCCAAGGCAGCCTGTGAAAGGCACTGGGAGCGGCGTGACGCGGGTACCGCGAAATTCCTTTTGCTGCCATATGCACTTGTGCCTTCTCTAACTACAGTTCAGCACAAACCTCAGGCGGGCGATTTGGCAGGCAAACGGTGCCCAGGCAGCCGGGTAACCTACTGGGTCCCAGTGGGTGCTGGGGAGCCCCATGCGCCAGGAGGTGGATAATTTAGGGGGCAAGGGGCTCGCACAAGGGCGAAGATGCGCTCTCCTCCCGGCACCGACCCACGCGTTTAAAGGCCTCTGCGGCAACGTTTAGGGACGCGAACTAGGTGCCGGGGGTTGGGGAGGAGGTGGGACTGGAAGCGAGAGCAGTCTGCGCCCAAGACCGCGCAAGAGGTGGCCTTTTGTTCGCTGGCTCCAGCACATCCCGGCTCTCGAAAAAACACTACCTCTGTCCCCTGCCACCCTCTGCATTTTAGAAAATCCTCTTCAGGGCAGGAAAGGACAGTGAGTCACTGCAAGCATCCTTTAGTAATTTCTCCCCGCGCCCTCCTACTTCCCCGCGTTACAGAGGGGCAGAGCACCAGGAAGGACGGCAAACATGCCCCGGTTTAGTGGTGGTCCGCGGCCGCTACCCAGCCGGCCGCACGCAGCACCCCCCGGACATCACACGATCTCCTCTGGGCCTTGCGGACACAGGAAATTTTCACCAAAGGCCGGGGATTCAAACACTCCCAGAACACGGTCGCGCCCTCGGGTCAGCTGCGCTCTCCCTCCAGACGTGCGTGGTTCCTGGCTCTCGTAAAAATGGAACCAGATCTGGTACCACACTCTGCCACAGCCACAGGAAAACACACCAAAGTCACAGGAAAACAAACCAAAAAGTAAGCCACAGCCCACGCAAAGGTGAACTCGGGGGCCCTGGCGCTTCCTCCCGCTGCCGCGTGCGTTCGGGAAGCACAGGAGACCTGGACTTTTCCTCTCCTAAAAGCAACATCCGAAAGCATCGGGCACAGCCGAGCTCTCTCTGCTTTCACGCCCGCAGAGATGATTTCTACGTTACCTCCTCCTCCGACATCTAAATCTCCCCTTGCCGCTCGCCCAGCCCTCCCCGGGAACGGATAATCACCTTACCTCCGGAAATAAAGGGAAAGGTGGCAAAAGGCGATGTGGAGGTGTCCGCCCTTCCGGGGTTTTTACCCTCGGCAGTTTGATGTCCTTTGTGTCAAGGTCTGGCTGCGGAGGCCGGGAAAATGTGGCCCCCGTCAGTAAGGGTTGGGCAGGGAGCTTGGCGTGGCCTGGCGGATTTCGGAGGAAGGTGAAGGGCGGAGGCTCCTGGCGACCTTCTGGCGGAGTGGCGTGGCCGCCCCAGTCCGCGCTCGCCTGGCTCTCCTCCTTTCCGGGCCGATTGCATCAGAATCTCCCCTCACCACCAACCCCCACTCACACTCTGCTCGCCGGCCTCGCACTTACATCGACATGCACCGGCGCTGAGGGTCACGAATCGGAGTCATTCTCCTACTGGGGGACGCGTGGCCCTTCCGCAACCATGGCTTGTGATGGTTTAACGCGGACAGGCCATTCCTCCCCGTCCCGCGCGCGGTCTCCTCCCCTCCTGTGCGCCCGCTCTTTAACCAAAGCTGCGTGTCAGTGAGCCGTGCCGGTCACATGGTGTCACTGCTGGCGGCCGCACCTTGCTGCCTCCCTCTTGCAGCTCTCTGACGATGCAGCGACCGCGGCTGGCGGAGATTGAGCAACGGGGAAAGGGTGAGGGAGGGGTTGCGGGGCGCGCGTGTGCCCGGCGCACTGAAGCTGGCACCGGGAGCAGAGGCTGCGCGCCGCCCTGGCACCTGCCCCTCTCCCTCCCGGGGCCCGGCGGCGTGTTCGGAACCCAGCTGCGGCTGCAGCTGGAGAATGAGAGCCCTTAGGGATGGGGGTGGGGCGGCTAAAGGGGCACCGGCGGAGGACAGGAGGGCTGTGCGTTCCGCTGGGGCCTGCATTTTGGGTACGCCAGAGCCCCGCCGGGGCCGAAGGAGCGAGGGAGTTGCATTGTGGGAAGGGCGCAGCATGAGGATGGCCGCGGGAGTGGCAGGTCCGAGCGCAGCCCGGAGAGCCGCGGGCAGCGCCTGGGACTACGGGCAGCGTTGGAGCGGAGGGCTGGCCCTGGGCACAGCCTGCAGATGGCCCGGGTTGGCGGGAAGGGGACCGAAGTGGCAGGGGCGGCGGGGAGCTCGGGCACCTTTAAAAACCCTTTGTCCCTAACCTGAAGCGGGAGGCACCTCCCCTCTTCCGGATCCAGCACCCGCAGACCTGGTCAGCCCTTCCTGAGATCTGCCCTGTGGAGCTCTGCTTTGGGGACTGGGTGTGAGGTGAACCAGAAGGATTTGCTGAGCACCGAGAAAGCACCGGCCTAGGCGCAAAGAGCCGGGGGCCAGCTCTTGGAGGGCCTGGAGACCCCACGTGGTCCCGACCGAAGGACCTGGTGCGTCCAGGTTAACGGAGCTGGGGCGCTCCAAGTCCGGGGGACGAGGGAGCGGCATGGAGGGGAGCAGGGGCAACTGGGCCTGGTTCCCTTTTTTCCCGCTTACTCTTTGTTTCAGACACAGCCCCCTTTCACTGGCTGGGCACTTGCTTGCAGAGGAGTTGTGTCTTAAAATGGCGACAGGAAATCCCACCTGCGCCTCAGCCAATTAGACTGTCATAGCGCGAATTTGCAGGGTGGAAACGCGAGCTTTTTATTGATAGGGAAGGTTCAGTCTCCTGTTCATGGTTCATCAAAACAGGAAAGGGAAGGTGAATCATAATTCAAAAATTAACTACCTGGAGCGTTTCAAGTAGACAGTAGTCATTGTATTTGGGTGAATTTTGCTTTTTCATCACCACTGGAAAAGCAAGATGATAACCAAATTTGAAACTCATCACGGACTAAACTTCTTATTCCCTTCGAATGGCAGTAAATGGCCTTTATTAGTTCAACAGTGGCTTCCTGAGAATCCTATTTAGAAGGCATGCTCTTGAGAAATACTGAAAAACAGAAAGTTCAGAGCAAACCAAAAGGGCAAACACATGGGCAGCCTAGCTCAGACAGACCTGCATTCAATTTCTTCCTCTGACACTTACTGCTTCCCTCATCTGCTTTACTTTTGTCCTAATCCTGTTTTCTAAATTTGTGAAAAAGGGGAGAAGAGTACACACAACATAGCAATATTCTATAGGTCATCAAAAAGTTGGTTCTTTCTACCTTACTAGAGGAAGCTAATTTATTGTGAAATTAATGATTTTAAGTAGTGTGCACCTTGCCTGGCACAAATAATTCTTATCAATAAGGTAAGAAATCTGAATAGGTAAAGTAGATGAACTGTGAGCCATAGCTTAATAGGCCTGTTGGAATATTTACCTTATTAAAGGCAGAATGTGTATTCATCGCTGTTTGGAGATTATCTGAACCAAGCTTGTCTTTTGGTTCCAATTTTAACTTACTTGCTAGTTTCTGTATATCAAAACGACTGCAGTTATTTAGCACTTTTTGAATTGGAATCAACAGTTATGAACTGAGCTCCTATGATATGGCAGCTATTGTGCTAAGGACTTTACATGTAAATATCTCATTTAAAGCTTTCAATCCCTCAGTTGGGTATTATCCTCTTTAAGAAAACAAGTACAAAGTTGAATTGGCCATGTTCACCTAAGACAGTAATTAGTGAAGGGGAAGCGATTCCCTTTCAGGTCTGAATTCAAAATCCGTGCTCAGTCTTCACAGTGGTGCTACAACCATTTGCAATCAGACATTCTTGGGCCTAGAGTTAGAAGGATCTTCACCCCTTCTCTGGATTTTAGTTGACAACCTAGAACCAGAGTAAACATCAACATGGAGGCTGCTGTTTTCTCAAATTGAGGCCAGGGATGTCTAGATGATTCCTCTATTCACTGTGTGCTTACTGAGAGACAAACAGCAGGTTAAACACTTCACAGATGGTCTCTCGTTTAATTCTCATGACATTCCTGATAGGGCAGCCTATCCTAATCCCTGACTCAAAGGTTAGGGAATTTATCCCAAGTCCACACAGCCCTAAGTGGCACATCCAAATCTTGCATCCAGAGCTGACTGGTAAGCCAGTTTTCTGTGGCTGGATCTAAAACGTTCCCTGATTCTGGAATAACCATCTTTGGAGGGTTAGTGGGTGGAAGGGGTCTCGGGCCACTCTGTCTCTGAATAGGAACCACTGCCCTATTTCAGTAGAGTCCAGGGAGTTAGTTTTCTCAGTAATAGGGTTGTGAGGTCCAAGAGACTTGTCGATAGTATCTAATGTTATTTGTGGACCTTTCCCATTTGAACAGATTTCCAATGTTATTAAGGTATTCAGGACACATTACCAGGTTTGACTGCAGACTGCCCTATGGAACTGAGAAAATTCTGTATCTGCTCTGAAAGTGATGCCAGGGAAGGAATTTGTACTATGAAAATAGAATTGGGTAGCTTTAGGTCACCTGAGAGTTTTCTTGTAGCCCCCATAGCTTGTTTTTGTATGGTTCCAGGAAGGTGGGGCAGCTTTGTGAAGAAAAATCAATTATACCCCAAAGAGGATTCAGCCTGAGCTTAAGCCACATCTGCTCTCATCCCAGCTTCACCCTGTACTCACCCGGGTTGCACTTGCTCCCTACCTGGGTTGCCCAGTAGGACAGCTGCAGAAGGGGCCACTACCAGCTGTGCGCTTACAGAGAATATGTGTTTTCCTGCACTGGTGTTCAAAGCTTTCCAAATACATCTGGTTTGATACCAGCAGTCTTCTTGTATAAGAATTTTTGGGTAATAAGATCAAAACTATTTTCTGAATACAGTGTTTTTTAAAAATCTGTGAAGGACTATCAGTGGAAAATCTGATTTTTAACGATGATGAAAAAGTAGGAAAGTCAGCTGGTGAGATTATCTCAGAACAAGTGTCCTGCATATCTCCTACTTGTAACAGAAAACACTGCAGCTGTTAGATGAACAAATCCAATCTCACTAGAAAATAAATTGTTTATTCTGCAGTCTTTTGTTCCTATTTATAGGGTCTACCCTAAACAACAAATGGTCTTTAAGATTACTGGTTTTCCTTGACTTTCACATTTCTTTGCCTGATTAACCCTTTTTATCATCCTTGATGTTCTTTGAATCTCATCCATAGATGACAATATTTTGACACTAGAAATTAGTAAAGCAGCCATAGGAAAAAGCGCATTTGCAATTAAAAGAGCTCCCAAATTGTGTTGGTCAGCCTTCTGCAGATACATGGCACTGTGTGCCCTAACATTCCTTGGTGGGTAGCACTGTGTCAGGGGCAGTTGTTGCCTCTTCCACCATTGAAATGAACATTCTACCTCACCAGATTGAAAATTGGTTCTTGCAAGAGGTCAAATACCCCCACTGATTCTAAACTGAAGTTAAATTAAAATCCCAGAACAAAACTATCTTTTATTATCTTATTAGTTAATTAATTTTAGAGACAAGGTCTCATTCTGTTGCCCAGGTTGGAGTGCAGTGGTTCAATCATAATAGCTCGCTGCAGCCTCAAATGGAATCAGGGATCTTCCCGCCTCAGCTTTCTGAGTAGCTGGGACTACAGGTGCGTGCCACTATGCCTGGTTATTCTTTATTATTATTATTGTAGAAACAGATTCTCATTTTGTTGTCTAGTCTGGTCTCAACCTCTTGGCCTCAAGCCACGCTCCTGCCTCGGCCTCCCAAAAATACTAGGATTACAGGCCTGAACCACCATACCTGACCCGAGATGCTTTAAAAATGTCTGCTGTCTCTGATTTTGGCCTGAGTCATATTTGTAAGGTCACTTATTTATTTTTTATCTGTTAGGGGAGCTGGGAGTGGAGTTTATTAGGAATTGCAACTGTATGGCAATACTGTGACATTTGTTCAAGTTAACTAAAGACCCAGGACCAAATAATCAGTCCTGGAAGTTTAATGTCTAACTTGTCTGATATGCAACATTCTGCAGGTCAACTGTGAGTGCAACTCCCTAGCTTGTTGCAAAATGGGGGAAATGATATGGACATAGTTTGGACGTGTGTCCCCACACAAATCTCATATCGAAATGTAACTCCTAATGTTGGAGTAGGGCCTGGTGGGAGGTGACTGGATCATGGGGGCAGATTTCTGATGTATGGGTTAGCACCATCCCCTTGTGTGCTTTCCTCATGATAGTGAGTGAGTTCTCTGGAGATCTGGTTGTTCTCACTCTCTGGCTCCTGCTTTCACCATGTGAAGTGCCTGCTCCTGCTTTGGCTTCTGCTACGAGTAAAAGCTCCCTGAGGCCTCCCCAGAAGCAGATGCTCCCATGTTTCCTGTACAGCCTGCCGATCTGTGAGTCAATTAAACCTCTTTTCTTTACAAATCACCCAGTCTCAGGTGTTTCTGAGACTGGGTGATTTATAAAGCAATGCAAGAATGGACTAATACAGATATCCATCTGGTGATCAGATGACTCAATGCCTACAGAATACCTAAGCACAATGCTTGGTATATAATAAGTGTCCAATAAATGGTACCTGTTATTATTTTGCACACTTTGCAGAAATAAAAATGGGGCAATTAAGTTTCAAAGTCCAAGTTTATAGGCACAAAATATTCTATTATGTTCACTTCATGCTGAAACAGCTGTTAAGCCCACACCTCCACTCCCATTTCTCCTACAGTGGGAATGAGGAGAGAGAAGGTATTAAAGAAGAGTTAGGCCTCCAATTCAACTCTCAATCTTAACTTTAAGGTGGGAAAGATAAGTTTTGAACCTATAAGAATGTGTTAATTAAGAAGTAGAAGTGGGCCGGGCGCGGTGGCTCATCCCCGTAATCCCAGCACTTTGGGAGGCTGAGGCGGGCGGATCACCCGAAGTCTGGAGTTTGAGACCAGCCTGACCAACATGGAGAAACCCTGTCTCTACTAAAAAAATACAAAATTAGCTGGATGTAGTGGTGCATGCCTGTAATCCCAGCTACTCAGGAGGCTGAGGCAGGAGAATTGATTGAGCCCAGGAGGCAGAGGTTGCGATGAGCCAAGATCACGCCATTGCACTCCAGCCTGGGCAACAAAAGTGAAACTCCATCCCAAAAAAAAAAAAAACAGTGGAAGTGTTCCAAAATGGAGAATAGCATTTGTATTTACTAATGGTGGCAATATAAATTGGTACCACTTTTTGTGAGGTAGCAAATTTAGGGGTTAAGAATGTGGGCTCTGGGGCCAAATTTGCTGAGTTCTAATCTTGGCTCTTACAGCCTGTTAGCTTTGTGACATTGGGCAAGTTACTTAACTTCTCTGTGCTTCAGTTTCTTCATATTTAAAATGGAAATAGACAATAATACCTACTTCATAAGGCTTTGTGAAATATATATGTTAATACATGTAAAGCATTAAAAATAATTAACAATATATCTTAAGTATTCAGTCATTAATAATTATTATTACTGGAAATCAGTTTGGCAATAAGTAGGAAGAACTTAGATACCATTGGTGTCACTTCTGGGACTCTATACCCTAAAAATTATGCACAAAGTAGTTTCCTAATAACACAGGATCTACAAGCACAGGCTTTGGAATGAGTCAAGTAAAGGTAAACAGCATGTTTAAAATGTTTCTCCAAAGCAAGTATAACATAAATCCATAAATTTACAGTCCAAATTAAATATGCATTTGAGTAGACTTGAGGGCAGCTGTAACACTTCCATAAGCCCTTAGAGATACTTTGAGAAATAGGATACAGGGCTGACTGTTCCTTAGTTCTGATCCTGTGTGATAATCCTTACTTTCTCATTTATAAGTGGACATCCAAAGGTGATACAGCTGGAAAAAGGATCTTCATCCAAGACAAAGAGAAACAAAGTCGATAGGAAAGTGATGAAAGGCATCAAGCAAAGTGAAGATGCAAATGAGAAAACAAGATCAGAAGACAGGAATATCTGAAACAAGTCACAAATGCATAGTATGACCTCTCAGGTAAGGACCAGGGCTGGATCATCCCAGGATGTTCAAGGCATACTCTCAGGGGGCGCTGTGTTATACTGAGATCTTGCTAGGCAAAAACATGGTTTTTGTCTTTTCTGTTGAAAAGGTACCTTTTGGGAGGCCAGGCGCGGTGGCTTACTCCTGTAATCCCAGCACTTTGGGAGGCTGAGGCGGGCGGATCACCTGAGGTAGGGAGTTCAAGACCAGCCTGACCAACATGGAGAAACCCCTTCTCTACTAAAAATACAAAATTAGCCAGGTGTGGTGGCACATGCCTGTAATGCCAGCTACTTGGGAGGCTGAGGCAGGAGAATCGTTTAAACTCAGGAGGTGGAGGTGGCGGTGAGCCGAGATCATGCCATTGCACTCCAGCTTGAGCAAAAAGAGCAAAATTCCGTCTCAAAAAAAAAAAAAAAAAAGAAAGAGAAAGAAAGAAAAAGAAAAGAAAAGGTACCTTTTGGGAAGAAGCATTAAAAAAATTTTTTTTTTCCGCTGGCAGTATTTAGGAAGAAGAATTCTATTTATTACTTCAGTAGAGTAACATGCTTTACTAAAATAAGCTTCCATTCTACATGGTTTTTTTTTTTTTTTTTTAGACAGAGTCTCACTCTGTTGCCCAGGCTGGAGTGCAGTGGTGCGATCTCGGCTCACTGCAACCTCTGCCTCCTGGGTTCGAGTGTTTCTCCTGCCTCAGCCTCCCGAGTAGCTGGGACTACAGGAGTACACCACCACACCCGGCTAATTTTTGTAATTTTAGTAGAGACGGGGATTTCACCATATTGGTCAGGCTGGTCTCGAACTCCTGACCTCAGGTGATCCACCTGCCTTGGCCTCCCAAAGTGCTGGGATTACAGGCATGAACCACTGCGCCTGGCCCATGATTGTTCTTAAAATAAGAAACACCACATAATATTCAGTGTTCCTTATTTTGAAGGGCTCTTTATTTGGTTATATTTTAGGCATATGAAGCTATTTCATAATCCCAAAAGGGGTATTTAATGAGATTTAGAATTGATAGTCTTCTGTTGATATATATTTATAGTTATTTATACACATATTTGTATGTTCTTAAAATAAAATGTTCAAAGTTTTTGATTCAAATGTAACATGTCTAAAATTGAAATCATTGTTTTTTTGTTTTTTTTTTTTCACAACTCAAACCCTCTTCTTTTCCCATAAACACCATATTGGGAAATGGCACCACCATGGGCATAGTTGCTCAAGCTAGAAGGATGGGGGTATTTTGGCTCATCCCCTTCACTCTTCACATCTAATTAATTCCCTCTTTTGAGTAACATTTACTAAGTGCCAGGCCTTCTGCTAGTCTTTCGTGAAGCTTGGAGTTAGAGTGAGAGACCGATATTACTCAAATGATCTTGCCAGTGAATGTACAAGTTACAGGTGGAGATAAGTGCTCTGCAGAAAGGAGCATGACTCTTGTGAGAGAAACAGAAGACCATGTTCTGAACTGGGAATCAAGGAAGACTTCCCTGAGGACGTGACCCTTGTTTGGACTCTATTCTGTTTATGCTAAGGATTTTAATAAGGAGCAGGTGATGGACATGATCCAGCGTACATTTTTAGAGGAATATCATGAGTCCTATCACTTCATCTCCTAAATATTTCTGACATCTGTTCTCTTTCCTCCATCCTCACGACCTTCACTGGCATGGGCCTCCAACAGCTCACTGTGGGGGAAGTTTCCCTCAAAGGGCACTGATAACACATCTTATTAAAACTATACCACATCATTATACCTCCCCAACATAATATGTACATGTATGTATTTGACAATAATATATATGTATTACTGTCCTATTTATTATATACATTAAAAACATTCACAAAAAATTAAAAATCCAAATGGTAAGATTTTACATTTTTGATTTGATAACAATACTTTATTATATTACTAAACATATATTCCTAATTGTCACTAAGATATTATCATGTTAGAGAAATTTGCTTCACTATACTATATCATTTTTTTAAATCTTAGTTTAATACTCTCTGATACAGCAATTCACAAGTCTACTTCCAACTCTGGCTTATTTTGATTCTTTCATGTAATGGCTGTCATAGCTGAAAAGGGACCTCACAGAGACCCAATGGAGGCAGTGTCCTATTGGCTATACTTCCCAAATCAAGCCATTCATTTCTCAATCCCATTCACTAATTTACAGAGATTTACTTATTTTTCATTGCTAGTCTGCAAATGTACACTTAAATGAAGGTCATCCTTAATAATTATGAATGTGAACCCATGAAACCTACTTCATAATTCTGAATTTGTTTTGACAGATTCTTTTCCACAGTTAGAGGGCCATTGCTATACCTGACATTGTGGCTGACAAAAGAGCTCTTATTAGGACTGGAAGTGTCAGTTCTACTTTTTCTTCTTTCTTTATGCTCATGTTATTATTATTTTTTAAATCTGAAGTTTAGAGGAATCTTTTAACTCTACTTGTCTATTTGGGAAGACACACTAAACTAGATAATATAATTTATAAATTCCCTCAACTAAGCACACAGAACTGTAATACATTGAAATCTGCCAAAGAGAACAAATCAGTGAGGGCACGACTGTATTCCTTTGTGTCTTTTTCAAGACACCTTGAGTACTGTAAGTGACAGGGAGCCATCTGATGTACAGGCTGAAGGGGGCCACCATCAACCTAGTAACCTAAACAGAAGTTCCAATATTTTCACCCTGCAGTCCACTTTGTAACCTTTTCTTAGCCTTCCACAAGAGTCTCCTAACTGGACTCCCTCCATCCACTTCTGGGCACCTAATGTCTCTACTACAGATTAGAAATTACTTTCACAGAAGGCCATTTCTGAAACCCAAACTAGCTTATGTGTTACCCTACATTGAAATTATTCAGACGCTGTCTTCCCCAGTAATCTGCAAGTTTCACAAAGGTAGATGCCATGTTCTTAATGGTTTCCCAGCACATAGCACATAACAGAAGCTCAATAAATATTTGTTGAATGAATAAATGAGTAAACAGAATATTTTTACAGTTAAATACCTTTAATTCTTTTATTTTTTTTAAATTTCAAGTCCTTAGAGGAGGAAGAATTGAAAAAATATGAAATATCAAATATACATTTAGCTAAATTTTTAAAGTTTAGTAGGCTATATGCATAAATCAAATGAATAGCAATATTTGGAACTGTAACTATTTTTGGAATCTTGTATGAATAAATTACAAGTTTAAAACATCAAGAGTAAGTGCCTATTGAATGTCATTTTTAAAGGAAAAAAGAAACCTCAGTCTGTATTTAAAAAGTAACATACCTCATTTAACAGTTTTCTAATTTATGCAAATTATCTGGAAAATTCAGAACCCCAATCACCTAAAGATTACCTTCCTTAAGAGTAAGTGTGGTTTTTGCTTCCAGAATCGTCTGGATAAGTGTCAGCATTCTCCAAGTCACTTTCTTGGTATGAAATGAACATTTGTGGCCAGGTGCAGTGGCTCACACCTGTAATCCCACCACTTCAGGAGGCCGAGGTGGGCGGATCATGAGGTCAAGAGATCGAGACCATCCTGGCCAACATGGTGAAACCCCGTCTCTGCTAAAAATGCAAAAATTAGCCAGGCGTGGTGACATGTGCCTGTAATCCCAGCTACTTGGGAGGCTGAGGCAGGAGAATCGCTTGAGCCTGGGAGGCAGAGGTTGCAGTGTGCCGAGATCGCACCACTGCACTGCAGCCTGGTGACAGAACGGGACTCCGTCTCAAAAAAAAAAAAAAAAAAAAAAAAGAAATGAACATTTGTAAATGGAGTCTAATTAAATTTTGTACTTTAAAAGAAAAGTTACAAGTTAATTTGTTCTGTTGTTTCTCCTTGCTATTTTTATAACAATTAGTATTTAGGAATAACACTGTGGTTCAGATATGAACTATTTCACAAAATCAACTTAATAATGAAGTCAACAATTATTTCTCTTTATTCAATCTTGTCACTTAGCTCAAAAAAGAACTGCACTGCTCTTTCCTTTTCAGTGATGAAAAGGAACAGAATGCTAGAAAACCATCTTACAGCTTGGCATTTTTTCATTTGTTTATTTATTCATTTATTCAATGAATGTATTCCAAGCTAATTCCTTTTGCAACATTCTTTATCTGATTCATGTCTCCTCTGAAAACTTCCTCCTTTTATTTATTTTTTGCTTTTATATGTTCATCCTCATTTCTATTGACTGTAAAGTAGTCAAACCTCTCATTAAAAAGGAAAGAAAGAAATGGGGAGAAGAGAAGAAAGGGGAGACAAGAAAAGAAAGAGAGGAAATATCCCTTGATTTTACATTTTTCTCTATGGCTTTTGTATTTCTTCTATTTAAGAGCCAAGATTTTCCAAAGAATAGTTAATAATATAAGTTTCAAAACTTTTATTTCCCATTCACTCTTTAAGTACCCACACCAACTCGCAAAATTAATTTATTCTCACTGTAGAAAACTTGGAAAATGCAGCAAAATGTAAAAAAGAAAATCAAAACCATCTATAAATTTATATACTGCAGTTACCATTGTTGATTTTTAGTTCATTTTGTTTATATGCATGTCTTTTTTACATTCAGAATCATGTCCAATTTCAGATTTGTATATGACATTAAATTATGATCATTTTATTATATCATTAAAATTTTTCAAAAACATAAATTTTAATAACTACAAAATATTCTACCATATAGTTTTACAATAATTATTAATTTCAGATTTTCATTTTGTATAAGTGTGTGTAATACTTTGTCCCTGTCTCTGATTATGTCCATAAGATAAATTTCTGGAAGTAGAATTACAGGGTTAAAAGAGCAACATTTAAAAATACCTGATACGGAGGAGTGGCTTCTAGATGGCTGACAGAAGTACCAGGTACTCACCTCCTCCTAAAGAAAGGACCTAAACAGCAAGTAGATAATCACACATCAAACAGCGTGTCTATGAGAGAACACTGGAATTCATCAGGAAAGTGACAGGGAACATCTGAGGCATCGAAGGAAAGAGAAGCAAGGCAGCTGGTCCGGCTGGCATCAGCTGGGAGCCAGGAGATGCTCCTCGGTGCAGCAAAAGGTTAAGTGAGAGACTCCCAGTGGTCCACATTCCCACCATGGACTACTACAGTGCTAGCCATAGGAAAGCCCCTCAGCCCTCACAGGCCCTGAGACTAGTGTAGGGAACTGCCTGAGGTCCATACCACAGCATTGTTCCAGACAGATAGTTCGTGCTGGGTCCCACACATCCCTCAAAACCCAAGCAGCTAGCCAGGTGCAGTGGCTCATGCCTGTAATTCCAGCACTTTGAGAGGCTAAGGTGGGCAGATTGTTGACCCCAGGAGTTTGAGAATAGCGTGGGCAACATGGAGAAACCCCATCTCTACAAAAAATACAAAAATTAGCCAGATGTGGTGGTGTGCACCTGTAATCCCAGCTATTTGGAAAGCTGAGGTGGGAGGATTGCTTGAGCCCGGGGGATCGAGGCTGCAGTGAGCCATGATTGCACCACTGCACTCCATCCTTAACAACAGGTGAGACTTTGTCTCAAAAACAAAAACAAACAAACAAAAAAACCCAAGCAGCTGCAGCACCATGCCATTTTGAGAGCCCAGCCCCCACAAGACTGCATCCTGCCCTGGGATCCAACAATCCCTGCATCTCCGCATTCATGGAGCCCTACTGACCCCCTCCCAAGTCTGCCTAGAAGGCTGCAGTGGCACAATGCTGACTGGACCCAGCAGTGTGGCCAGGTCCCTAGCACTCTAGCCCACGGTGTCCTACACCCAAGAAAATGGGCAGCATAGCACACCAGAGAAGTTGCCACCAGGACAAAAAGAGCTGAAGTTTGCATTCCCCAGAGTCTAAGGCCATGGCCACTGACAGCAACTCTGCTCTGCCACACCCCCAGTAGTGGGCCTGCCATGCACCTGCACATGCCTGCAGTGGGCCTGAGGACTGACCTGCCCAAATGCCATCCTGGGGCCTGAAGACAGGCTTACGCTGCTCACTGCCACCACCACTAGGTGCCTAGGGATTGCCTTGCTCTGCCCACCAAGCCTGGCCTATGTGCACCATTGGGGTACCTGAGAACAGGCTTACCCTGCCCTGTGCTACCCTCTACAGTGCCTAAGTGTTCAGGGCCCTAGGGATCAACCTGTCCTGCCTGTCATACTGACACATGCATCTGGGGGCCTAACACAGGCCCAGACTGCCTGCTGCCAGCATCCAAGCATGCAATGCCATAGAGGAGCCTGAAGAATGCCCAAACCCAGCCACCACAGTTGCCCCTGTGTGCACCATTAAGGGACCTGAGGACAGCCCACTTCTATCTGACATAGCTCCCTGCATTCCCTGAGTGTGGCATCTGGGGGCCCGGGGATCAACCTACCCTGCCTGCCACTTCTGATATGTGCCTACACCATCAAGGGGCCTCATAACAGGCCCAGACTGCCTGCTGCCAGCACCCAGGCATGCTATCTGAGGGGCCTAGAAATCACTTCACCCTGCCCACCACAGCCCATGCCTGAGCGCATTATCAGGGGCCTGAGGACAAGCCCACCCCACATGTACTACTCAAACCCCCACCTGCACAAGCATGTTGTCCAGAGGGATGGGGATTGTCACATCCTGCATACCACCACTACATAGACACACACACACACACACATGCACTCACACATCCCAGGGGCCTGAGGATGGGCCTGCCCAGCATGTTGCCACCACCACCACCAGCACCCACCTGCACCATACCACAAGGGCTGAGAACAGGCCCACTCAGCCCATTGCTGCCACCATTGAAGCTAATGTATGCTGACTGGGAGCCTAAGGGTTGGCCTGCCACCACTACTGCAATTGCTGATGCCATGCATACTGTCCAGGGGCCCAAGAACCTGCCCACCCACCCAACTTACCCCTGTCATTGCTGGTACATAAACAAGCAACCTTGAGGCCCAATAATTGTCCCCCCAGAACCAGCTAAAACTGTACCCAAGAGCTCAAGGAAAGGCATGTTGGCCTACTTCCACCACTACTGGGGCCTTAGAACAGGTCCATTTGGTATCCCCATCCCCAGCAAAGCCTCATTACAGCCTCCACTAACAACTGTAGCCTAAGCCACTGAGGAAATCACATGATGCTGTCTACAGCCAAATAAATCATACAGAGATTACACTGCTGCATCCACCCAGAATCAAAGCTAAAGTGCCCTACCCAACCAACACTATAGATACATCTACAGGAAAAAATATTTACCTGTGAAAGCCAGACCAAAAAATTAGATGAGGTGACTGTCATAACAGATTGAGTAGATATCAATGTAAGTACAAAAATGAAAATGAAAAGCCACAAAACAAGATAAATTCAGAGAAACACAATAATTCTCCAGTAGCAGGTTCCATCAAAAAATTTATGAAATGCATGAAACAGGATTTAAAATAATAAAGAAGCTCAGTGAGATACCAGAGAACACAGATAAATAACATGAAGAAAGCAGAAAAACAATTCATTATGTGAATAAGCAATTCACCAAAGAGATAGATGTCATTAAAAAAGAAAAACAAAAACAGAAATCCTAGAACTAAAGAATTCAATAAATAAAATAAAAAATACAATTGATAACCTCAACAATAGACTAGATTAAACTGAAGAAAGACTTTCTGAACTTGAAGACAAATCTTTTGAAATAACTCAGTCAGACAAAAAAAAAAGAAGAAAGGAAGAAAGAAAAGGAGTGGAAAATCATAGACACCCTATGTGACATGTGGGACACCATAAAGTGACCAAAAATCAAATTATAATGTTCCATAAGAAAAGAGATGGACAAAGGCACAGAAAATCTATTTAACAAAATCATAGGTGAAAAATTCTCAAGTCTTGCAGAGATATAAACATCTAGACACAAGAAAGTCAAAGAACCTCAAATAGATTGAACTCAAAAAGGTCTTTTTAAATGCACATTACAGTCAAACTGTTGAAAGTCAAAGACAAAGGAAGAACTCTTAAAAACAGCAAGAAAAAAGTGTCAAATCACAGAAAAGGGAATACCAATCAGACTAACAGCAAATTCTCAGCAGAAACTTCACAGGCTAGGAGAGAATGGAATGATATATTAAAGAGCCAAGGGAAGGCCATTCCAAGATGGCCGAATAGGAACAGCTCCAGTTTGCAGCTCCCAGCGTGATTGATGCAGAAGAAGGGTAATTTCTGCGTTTCCAATCAAGGTACCTGATTCATCTCACTGGGACTGTTTGGACAGTAGGTGCAGCCCATGGAGGGCAAGCCAAAGCAGGGCGGGGCATCGCCTCATCCGGGAAGTGCAAGGGGTCAGGGGATTTCCCTTTCCTAGCCAAGGGAACCCGTGACAGACTGTACATGGAAAAATGGGACATTCCCACCAAATACTGAGCTTTTTCCAATGGTCTTAGCAAATGGCACACCAGGAGTTTATATGCCACACCTGGCTTGGCAGGTCCCACATGTATGGAGCCTTACTCACTGCTAACACAGCAGTCTGAGATTGACCTGTGAAGCAGCAGGCTGGAGGGATAGGGGTGTCTGCCATTGCTGAGGCTTGAGTAAGTAAACAAAGCAGCCATGGAAGCTCAAACTGGGCGGAGCCCACCGCAGCTCAGCAAGGCCTGCTGCCTCTGTTGATTCCACCACTGAGGACAGGGCATAGCTGAACAAAAGGCAGCAGGAACTTCTGCAGACTTAAACGTCCCTGTCTGACAGTTCTGAAGAGAGCAGGAATTCTCCCAGCATGGTGTTTGAGCTCTGAGAACAGACAGACTGCCTCCTCAAGTGGGTCCCTGACCTCTGTGTAGCCTAACTGGGAGACACCTCCCAGTAGAGGCCGACTGCCACCTCATACAGGAGGATGCCCCTCTGGGACAAAGCTTCCAGAGGAAGGATCAGGAAGCAATATTTGCTGTTCTGCAGCCTCTGCTGGTGATACCTGGGCAAACAGCGTCTGGGAAGAACCTCCAGCAAACCCCAACAGACCTGCAGCTGAGGGACCTGACTGTAAGAAGGAGAACTAACAAACAGAAAGGAATATCATCAACATCAACAAAAAGGACATCCACACCAAAACCCCATCTGTAGGTCACCAACATCGAAGACTAAAGGTAGATAAAACCACAAAGATGGGGAGAAACCAGAGCAGAAAAGCTGAAAAGTCTAAAACCCAGAGCACCACTTCTCCTAAGGATGGCAGCTCTTTGCCAGCAACAGAACAAAGCTGGACAGAGAATGAGTTTGATGAGTTGACAGAAGTAGGATTCATAAAGTTGATAATAACAAACTTCTCCAAGCTAAAGGAGGTTGTTCAAAACCATTGCAAGGAAGCTAAAAACCTTGAAAAAACATTAGACGAATGGCTAACTAGAATAAACAGTGTAGAGAAGACCTTAAATCAGCTGATGAAGCTGAAAACCATGGCACAAGAACTACGTGACGCATGCACAAGCTTCAATAGCCAATTCGATTAAGTGGAAGAAAAGGTATCAGTGATTGAAGATCAAATGAATGAAATAAAGCCAGAAGAGAAGGTTAGAGAAAAAGGAGTAAAAAGAAATGAATAAAGCCTACAAGAAACACTGGACTATGTGAAAAGACCAAATCTACATCTCACAGGTGTACCTTAAAGTGACAGGGAAAATGGAACCAAGTTGGAAAACACTCTTCAGGATATTATTCAGGAGAACTGCCCCAAACTAGCAAGGTAGGCCAACATTCAAATTCAGGAAACACAGCAGACACCACAAAGATGGTCCTCAAGAAGAGCAATCCCAAGACACATAATTGTCAGATTCACCAAGGTTAAAATGAAGGAAAAAATGTTAAGCACAGCCAGAGAGAAAGGTTGAGTTACCCACGAAGAGAAGGCCATCAGACTAACAGCAGATCTCTCAGCAGAAACTCTACAGGCCAGAAGAGAGTGGGGGCCAATATTCGACATTCTTAAAAAAAGAATTTTCAACCCAGAATTTTATACCCAGCCAAACTAAGCTTCATAAGTGAAGGAGAAATAAAATCCTTTACAGACAAGCAAATGCTGAGAGATTTTGTCACCACCAGGCCTGCCTTACAAGAGCTCCTAAAGGAAGCACTAAACATGGAAAGGAACAACCAGTACCAGCCACTACAAAATCATGCCAAATTGTAAAGACCATCAATGCTAGGAAGAAACTGCATCAACTAACGAGCAAAATAACCAGCTAACATCATAATTACAGGATCAAATTCACACATAACAATATTAACCTTACATGTAAATGGGCTAAATGCCCCAATTAAAAGACACAGACTGGCAAATTGGAAAAAGACTCAAGACCCATCAGTGTGCTGTATTCAGGAGACCCACCTCATGTGCAGAGACACACACAACTTCAAAATAAAGGGATGGAGGAAGATCTACCAAGCAAATGGAAAGCAAAAAAAACCAAGGGTTGCAATCCTAGTCTCTGATAAAACAGACTTTAAACAAACAAAGGTCAAAAGAGACAAAGGAGGCCATTACGTAATGGTAAAGGGATCAATTCAACAAGAAGAGCTAACTATCCTAAATATATATGTACCCAATACAGGAGCACCCAGATTCATAGAGCAAGTCCTTAGAGACCTACAAAGAGACTTAGACTCCCACACAATAATAATGGCAACCTTTAACACCCCACTGTAAATATTAGACAGATCGAGACCGAAGATTAACAAGGATACCCAGGAATTGAACTCAGCTCTGCACCAAGCGGACCTAATAGACATCTACAGAACTCTCCACCCCAAATCAAGAGAATATGCATTCTTCTCAGCACCACATTGCACTTATTCTAAAATTGACCACATAGTTGGAAGTAAAGCACTCCTCAGCAAATGTAAAAGAACAGAAATTATAACAAACTGTCTCTCAGACCACAGTGCAATCAAATTAGAACTCGGGATTAAGAAACTCACTCTAAACCACACTACTCCATGGAAACTGAACAATCTGCTCCTGAATGACTACTGGGTAAGTAATGAAATGAAGGCAGAAATAAAGAGGTTCTTTGAAACGAATGAGAACAAAGACACAACGAACCAGAATATCTGGGACACATTTAAAGCAGTGTGTAGGGGGAAATTTATAGCACTAAGTGCCCACAAAAGAAACAGGAAAGATCTAAAATTGACACCCTAACATCACATTTAAAAGTACTAGAGAAGCAAGAGCAAACACATTCAAAAGCTAGCAGAAGGCAAGAAATAACTAAGATCAGAGCAGAACTGAAAGAGATAGAAACACAAAAAACCCTTCAAAAAGTCAACGAATCCAGGAGCTGGTTTTTTGAAAAGATCAACAAAATTGATAGACCACTAGCAAGACTAATAAAGAAGAAAAGAGAGAAGAATCAAGTAGATGCAATAAAAAATGATAAAGGGGATATCACCACTGATCCCACAGAAATACAAACTACCATCAGAGAATACTATAAACACCCCTACACAAATAAACTAGAAAATCTAGAAGAAATGAATAAATTCCTGGACACATACACCCTCCCAAGACTAAACCAGGAAGAAGTTGAATCTCTGAATAGACCAATAACAGGATCTGAAACTGAGGCAATAACCAATAGCCTACCAACCAAAAAAAGTCCAAGGCCAGATGGATTCACAGCTGAATTCTACCAGAGATACAAAGAGGAGCTGGTACCATTCCTTCTGAAATATTCCAATCAATAGAAAAAGAGGGAATCCTCCCTAATTAATTTTATGAGGCCAGCATCATCCTGATACCAAAGCCTGGCAGAGACACAACAAACAAAGAGAATTTTAGACCAATATCCCTGATGAACATTGATGCAAAATTCCTCAATAAAATACTGGCAAACTGAATCCAGCAGCACATCACAAAGCTTATCCACCATGATCAAGTGGGCTTCATCCCTGGGATGCAAGCCTGGTTCAACATACACAAATCAATAAACGTAATCCAGCATATAAACGGAACCAATAACAAAAACCACGTGATTATCTCAATAGATGCAGAAAAGGCCTTTGACAAAATTCAACAGCCCTTCATGCTAAAATGTCTCAATAAACTAGGTATTGATGGAACCCACCACAAAACAATCAGAGCTATTTATGACAAACCCACAGCCAATATCATACTGAATGAGCAAAAACTGGAAGCATTCCCTTTGAAATCTGGCACAAGACAGGGATGCCCTCTCTCACCACTCCTACTCAACATAATGTTGGAAGTTCTGGCTAGGGCAATCAGGCAAGAGAAAGGAATAAAGCATATTCAATTAGGAAAAGAGGAAGTCAAATTGTCCCTGTTTGCAGATGACATAACTGTATATTTAGAAAACCCCATTGTCTCAGCCCAAAATCTCCTTAAGCTGATAAGCAACTTCAGCAAAGTATCAGGATACAAAATCAATGTGCAAAAATCACAACCATTCCTATCCACCAATAACAGACAGACAAACAGAGAGCCAAATCATGAGTGAACTCCTATTCATAATTGCTACAAAGAGAATAAAATACCTAGGAATCCAACCTACAAGGGATGTGAAGGACCTCTTCAAGGAGAACTACAAACCACTGCTCAACGAAATAAAAGAGGACACAAACAAATGGAAGAACACTCCATGCTCATGGATAGGAAGAATCAATATCATGAAAATGCCATAGTGCCCAAGGTATTGTATAGATTCAATAACATCCCCATCAATCTAGCAATGACTTTCATCACAGAATTGGAAAAAACGACTTTAAAGTTCATATGGAACCAAAACAGAGCCTGCATTGCCAAGACAATCCTAAGCAAAAAGAACAAAGCTGGAGGCATCACGCTACCTGACTTCAAACTATACTGCAAGGCTACAGTAACCAAAACAGCATGGTACCGGTACCAAAACAGAGATATAGACCAATGGAACAGAACAGACACCTCAGAAATAACACCACACATCTGCAACCATCTGATCTTTGACAAACCTGACAAAAACAAGAAATGGGGAAAGAATTCCCTATTTAATACATGGTGCTGGGAAAACTGGCTAGCCATTTGTAGAAAGCTGAATCTGGATCCCTTCCTTACACCTTACACAAAAATTAATTCAAGATGGATTAAAGACTTAAATGTTAGACCTAAAACCATAAAAACCCTAGAAGAAAACCTAGGCAATACCATTCAGGACATAGGCATGAGCAAAGACTTCATGACTAAAACACCAAAAGCAATGGCAACAAAAGCCAAAATAGACAAATGGGATCTAATTAAACTAAAGAACTTCTGCATGGCAAAAGAAACTGCCATCAGAGTGAACAGGCAACCTACAGAATGGCAGAAAATTTTTGCAATCTACCCATCTGACGAAGGGCTAATATCCAGAATCTACAAAGAACTTAAACAAATTTATAAGAAAGAAACAACCCCATCAAAAAGTGGGCAAAGGATATGAACAGACACTTCTCAAAAGAAGACATTTATGCAACCAACAGACACATGAAAAAATGCTCATCATCACTGGGCATCAGAGAAATGCAAATCAAAACCATAATGAGATACTATCTCATGCCAGTTAGAATGGTGATCATTAAAAAGTCAGGAAACAACAGAGACTGGAGAGGATGTGGAGAAATAGGAACACTTTCATGCTGTTGGTGGGAGTGTAGATTAGCTCAACCATTGTGGAAGACAGTGTGGTGATTCCTCAAGGATCTAGAACTAGAAATACCATTTGACCCAGCAATACCATTACTGGATATATACCCAAAGGATTATAAATCATGCTACTATAAAGATATATGCACATGTATGTTTATGGCGGAACTATTCACAATAGCAAAGACTTGGAATCAACCCAAATGTCCATCAATGATAGACTGGATTAAGAAAATGTGGCACATATACACCATGGAATACTATGCAGCCATAAAAAAGGATGAATTCATGTCCTTTGAAGGGACATGGATGAAGCTGGAAACCATCATTCTGAGCTAACTATCACAAGGACAGAAAACCAAACACCACATGTTCTCACTCATAAGTGGGAACTGAACAATGAGAACACTTGGACACAGGGTGGGGAACATCACACAGCATGACCTGTAGTAGGGTGGGGGACTGGGGGAGGGACAGCATTAGGAGAAATACCTAATATAAATGATGAGTTAATGGGTGCAGCAAACCAACATGGTGCATGTATACCTATGTAACAAATCTGCACGTTGTGCACATGTACCCTAGAACTTAAAGTATATAAAAATAAATAAATAAATATAAGTGCCAAAAGGAAAAAAAAGCTGTCAGTGACGACAACAAAGCTGTCCTTCAAAAATGAAGGATAAATAAAATCTTTCCCAGATAAGCAAAAACTGAGGGAATTTATCACCACTAGAACGATCCTACAAGAAATGGTTAAGGGAGTCCTACATCTGGAAGCAAAAGGACAATATCTACATTTATGAAAACACACAAAAATATAAAACTCACTAGCAGTGTAAAACTCACAGAGATACAAATGAGACAGAGAAAGAATTCAAATGTTACTACTAAAGAAAATCACCAAACTTCAATGATAAACAACACAACAAAAATAAAGGGAAAAAAGATACACAAAACAACCAGAAAACAATTAATAAAATGACAGAAATAAGTCTTCAGCTATAAATAGTAACCTTGAATGAAAATGAATTAAATTCCCACTTAAAAGAGATAAATTGGCTAAATGGATTAAAAAAAAAACTTGACTAGATGCTGCTTACAAGAAACTTACTTTAGGTGTAAAGACATATATAGACTGAATGTAAAGGGAATGGATAAAAATACTTCACACAAAGGGAAACCAAAAGCAAGCAGTAGATATATTTACATCAGATAAAACAGGTTTTAAGTATAAAACAATAAAAAGTGACAAAGAGTATCATAATATTGTGTTAAATAGATCAATTAGCAAAAGGATACAAAAATTCTAAATATATATGCACCCAACATTAGAGCACCATGATATATAAAGCAAATATTATTAGTTCAAAAGGGAGATAGGCTCCAATACAATAATAGTTGAGGACTTTAATAGCCCACTGTTAGCATTTGACAGATCATTTAGACAGGAAATCAACAAAGCAACTTTGGATTTAAACTGCACTTTAAACCAAATGGGCCCATGAATGGAGCTGGAAGCCATTATCCTCAGCAAACTAACACAGGAACAGAAAACCAGACACCACACGTTCTCACTTATAAGTGAGAGCTGAATGATGAGAGTACATGGATACATTGTGGGGAGGAACACACACTGGGCCCTGTTGGATGGGTGGGTGGGGGAAGGGAGAGCATCAGGAAGAATAGCTAATGGACACTGGGCTTAATACCTAGATGATAGGATGATCTGTGCAGCAAACCACCATGGCAACATTTACCTATGTAACAAACCTGCACATCCTGCACATGTACCTCTGAAGTTAAAAAAAAAATGGACCTAACAAATATTTATAGAACATTTTATCCAACAGTTGCAGAATACATATCTTCTCATCAGTGCATAAAGCATTCTCCAGGATAGAACATATGTTAGAACATGAAACAAGTCTCAACAAATTTTTAAAAATAAAAATTATGTCAAGTTCTCCTCAGACTACAATGCAATAGAGCTAAAAATCAAGAACAAGAGGAACTTTGAAAACTGTGCATATACATAGAAATTAAACATGTTCCTGAATAACCACTGAAAGCACAGCTAAGAGCTTATTGCTATAATTTTATGGCAATAAATGCCCACATCAAAAATGTAGAAAGATTCAAATAAACAACCTAACAATCCACACCAAGGAACCAGAAAAGCAAGAACATCCAAACTTACAATTAGTAGAAGAAAATAAATAACAAAGGTCAGAGCAGAACTTAATGAAATAGAGACTAAAAAACAATGAAAAAAAGATTAAGAAAAGTTGATGTTGGTTTTCTGAAAAGATAAACAAAATTGATAAACTGATAGCTACACTAACCAAGAAAGGAGAGAACACCAATAAACAAAATCAGAAATGAAAGAAGAGACATTACAACTGATACCAGAGAAATACAAATTATCATCAGAGACTATTATGAACAACTATATGCTAACAAACTTGAAAACTCAGAGGAAATGGATATATTACTGAATACATATAATTTAACAAGGGTGAATCAGGAAGAAATAGAAAATATGAACAGAACAATAATGAGTAATGAGATTGAATCAGTAATGATAAGTCTTCTAATAAATAAAAGCCCAATACTGATGACTCCGCTGATGAATTCTGCAGAAATTTTAAAGAAGAATTAATACCAATTCTTCTCAAAGCATTACAAAAAAACTAAAGAGGGAGTTCTTCTTAACTCATTCTAAGGGCCAGCATTACTCTGAAACCAAAACCATACAAGGATACAATAAAAAAAAGAAAACTACAGGCTAACATTCCTAATGAGCATAGATGCAAACATCCTTGATAAAATACTAGCAAACCAACTCCAACAGCACATCAAAAAGATAATACACCATGATCAAGTAGGATTCACCTCATGGATGCAAAGATGATTCAACATACGGAAATCAATAAATGAGTGAACCAAGAGTAGAGAACCTGGATGTAAATCCACATGTTTTTGACAGCTCTATTAGTTTTCATGCTGCTGATAAAGACATGCGCGAGACTGGGAAGAAAAAGAGGTTTAATGAACTTACAGTTCCACCTGGCTGGGGAAGCCTCACAATCATAGGAGAAAATAAGGAGGAGCAAGTCACATCTTACATGGATGGCAGCAGGCAAAGAGAGAGCTTGTGCAGGGAAACTCCCCCTTATGAAACCATCAGATCTTGTGAGACTTATTCACTATCACAAAAACAACAGGGGAAAGACCCACCTCCATGATTCAATTATCTCCCACCAGGTCCCTCCAACAACACATGGGAATTGTGGGAGCTACAATTCAAGATGAGAGCTGGGTAGGGACACAACCAAATCATATGATTCTGCCCCAGGCCCCTGCCAAATCTCATGTCCTCACATTTCAAAACCAATCATGCCTTCCCAGCAGTCCCCCAAAATCTTAACTGATTTCAGCATTAATCCAAAAGTCCACAATCCAAAGTCTCATCTGAGACAAGGCAAGTCTCTTCCCACCTGTAATCCTATAAAATCAAAGGCAAGGTGGTTATTTTCTAGAAACAGTGGAGGTACAAGTATTGGATAAATACAGCCATTCCAAATGGGAGAAATTGGCTAAAACAAAGGGGCTACAGGCCCCATGCAAGTCTGAAATCCAGCAGGGCAGTCAAATCTTACAGCTCCAAAATGAGCTCCTTTGACTCCATATCTCACATCCAGGTCACGCTGATGCAAGAGGTGGGCTCCCAACATCTTGGGCAGCTCTGCCCCTGTGGCTTTGCAGGGTACAGCCTCCCTCCCAGCTGCTATCACAGGCTAGCATTGAGTGTCTGCAGCTTTTCCAGGTGAACAGTGCAAGCTGTTGGTGTATCTACCATTCTGGGTTCTGGAGGAAAGTGGCCCTCTTCTCACAGCTCCACTAGATGGTGCCCCAGTAGGGACTCTGTGTAGTGGCTCCAACATTTCCCTTCTGCACTGCTCTTGCAGAGGTTCTCCATGAGGGCCCTGCCCCTACAGCAAACTTCTGCCTGGGTATCCAGGCTTTTCCATACATCCTCTGAAATCTAGGCAGAGGTTCCCAAACCCCAATTCTTGACTTCTGTGCATTGACATTCTGTGGCTAAACACCACAGGGAACCTGCCAAGGCCTGGGGCTTGCATCCTCTGAAGCCACGGACTGAGGTGTACTTTGATCCCTTTTAGTCATGGCTGGAGCAGCTAGGACATGGGGCATCAAGTCCTAGACTGTACACAGCATGGGGACCCTTCCCAGCCCATGAAACCACTTTTTTCTCCTAGGCCTCCAGGCCCGTGATGGGAGGGGCTGCTGTGAAGACCTCTGACATGCACTGGAGATATTTTCCCCATTGTCTTGGGGATTAACATTTGGCTTCTCATGAGAAGCCAAATAAATGTACTTATGCACATTTCTGCAGCAGCTTGAATTTCTCCTCAGAAAATGGGATTTTCTTTTTTATCACATTGTCAAGCTGCAAATTTTCTGAATTTTTATGCACTCCTTTCCTTATTAAACTGAATGCTTTTAATAGCACCCAAGCCACCTTGAGTGCTTTGCTGCTTAGAAATTTTTCTGCCAGATATCCTAAATCACCTCTCTCAAGATCAAAGTTCCACAAATCTCTAGGGCAGGAGCAAAATGTCACCAGTGTTTTTGCTAAAACATAACAAGGGTCACCTTTGCTCCAGTTCCCAAAAAGTTCCTCATTTCCATCTGAGACCACCTCAGCCTGGATTTTATTGTCCATATCACTACCAGCATTTTGGGCAAAGCCATTCAACAAGTCTCTAGAAAGTTCCAAATTTTTCCACATTCTCCTGTCTTCTTCTGAGCCCTCCAAACTTTTCCCTCCAAATTGAATCATGAAGGGTGGGGAAAGATCTGCCCCCATGATTCAGTTACCTCCCCCCGGGTCCCTCCCATGGGAATGTGGGAGCTACAATTCAAGATGAGAGTTGAGTGGGGACACAGCTAAACCATATCAACAGCCAACTTATTTATTTATTTATTTTTGGGACCAGGTCTCACTGTCTTGTCCAGGCAGAAGTGCAGTGGCACAATCACAGCTTACTGCAGCCTTGACTTTCCAGGCTCAGCTGATACTTCTGCTTCAGACTCCCAAGTAGCTGGGACCACAGGCATGGACCACTATGCCCAGCTAATTTTTAAATTATTTGCATAGATGGAGCCTCCCTTTGTTGATCAGGTTCCAACTGATTTTTGACAAAGGCAAGAACATACATTGGGGAAAGGACAGCCTCTTCAATAAAAGGTGATGGGAAAACTGGACAACGATATGCCAAAAAAGGAAATGAATTTCCTGTCTCTCACCATATAAAAAATCAAAATGAATTATAGACTTGAGGGTATGATTCAAAACTGTCACACTACTAGAAGAAAACATAAGGGAAATGCTTCAGGACATTGGTATAAGCAAAGATGTTGTGGCTAAGACCTCAAAAGCACAGACAACAAAAACAAAACTAGACAAATGGGACTATATTAAACTAAAAAGTTCTGCAAAGCAAAGGCAACAATCAACAGAGTGAAGAGACACCTGCAGAATGAGAGAAAATAGTTGCAATGTATTTATCTGACAAGGGACTAATATCCAGAATACACAGGAATTCAATTTAACAGTGAAAAAAACAATATCAAAACATGAGCAAAGGATATAAATAGATATTTCTCAAAAAAAGACATACAAGTGGCTCATGCGTGTAATCCCAGCACTTTGGGAGACCGAGGAGGGTGGATCACGAGGTCAGGAGATTTAGACCATCTTAGCCAACATGGTGAAACTCCGTCTCTACTAAAAATACAAAAATTAGCTGGGTATGGTGGTGTGCATCTGTAATCCCAGCTACTCGGGAGGCTGAGGCAGGAGAATCGCTTGAACCTGGGGGGCAGAGGTTGCACTGAGCCGAGGTCGTGCCACTGCACCCCAGCCTGGTGACAGAGCGAGACTCCATCTCAAAAAAAAATCAACAGAACTAATCATCAAGGAAATACAAATTAAACTACAATGATATATCATCCCACCCCAGTTAGAATGGCTATTATAAAAAAAATTAACAAATTCTAGCAAGGATGTGGAAAAGAGAACTTACCCACTGTTGGTGAGAATGTAAATTACTACAGCCATTATGGAAAATAGTATGGTGGTTTCTCAGAAAACTGAAAATAGAGCTATCATATGATCCAGCAATCCCACTAATGGGTATTTATTAAAAAGAAAAGAAATATCAAAAGAACACCTGCACACCGTGTTGACTATAGCACTATTCACAGTACTTAAGATATGGAATCAACCTGTGTCCATCAACAGATGAATAAATAAGTAAAATGTGGTATATAAACATAATGGAATACTATTCAGACATAAAAAAGAAATCCTGCTATTTGCGGCAACATAAATGGAACTGGGAGTCATTATGTTAACTGAAATAAGCCAGGCACAGAAAGACAAATAACAGATGTTCTCACTCATATGTGAGAGCTAAAACAGTTGATCTCATGGAAATAAGAGAGTAGAATGATAGTTACCACAGGTTGGGAAGGGTCAGGGTAGGGGGATGAAGAGAGATTGATTAATGGGTGATCAACATTAGTTTGATAGAATGAGTAAGTTCTGGTGTTCAATAGTACAGTAGGGTGCCTATAATTAACAATTTATTGTATATTTCAAAATAGCTAGAAGAGATTTTCTATGTTCCCTGTACAAAGCAATGATAAATGTTGGAGATGATGAATATCCTGAATACTCTGATTTGATCATTACACATTGTATGGATGTATCCAAATATCACATGTACCCCATAATATGTACAATTATTAGGTATCAATTAAAATTTTTTTAAATAAAGAAAGCAGACTCGAATCAGGCAGTCTGGTTTCAAACCTAGGCTCTGCCCCGTGCTGGCTGCATGACCTTGGGCAAGTTACTTTACCACGTTGTCCATCAGTTTTCTTGTCTGCAAAGTGGGGATTAAAAGAGTTCTTGCTCAAAATGTCCTTGTGAAAATTGAGTTAATGTATGTAAAGCCTCTAGAATAGCACCATATAGAAACAGCCAAATGAATCTTAGCCATCATCATTATCATTACCACTTGGGTAGTTAAAGATATATGCTCCTCTGATCAGTTGAAGTTGCAAAACACACAAGCTCTCAGGCACACCTGCACACATTGGTATGTATACACACACACACACACACACACACACACACACACACACATGCTACACATAGTCCAATTGGCTACAGCTCCTTCTCTGGGGAAACCATCAATGCACTACTCTCCTACTAAAATCCTCTCCACCTCAGCTCTTTCTCTGAGAAAGGGAGATAACTCCTGTAACAGAATCTATGGGCAAGATAACACAAGAGGAAAGGGCAACCTGTGGCACAGCCAACTCTGGACAGAGTATCCTGGTGCCCTCCTTACCTCCCTTATCAGCCTATTTCCTTCGTTGTGCCACTCCTACCCTCCACTGCCACTCCAGGGCCTCCCCTATGTCCAGTGCCTGGATTCAGTGAATTTCAGAAGAGTCCCTGCTAAAGTATGAACTTTGATTAAGGTATTTGCTGATAAATTCAACTAGGAAACCTCACAGGGGAACTTTTCCTTTTTTAGAGGAGGAAGGAGCAATGCTTGCTTCATGGCTTCCCTGCCTCCAGTCCTTCTGCTTTTCCTCAATACCTGTCCCCATTGTGGTGAGAGCCCACAGCAAGTGGAGCAGGGGAACCATTCCGACTCTACCTGCCACTCCTCTGGAGGGGCTGGGGTTATATATGCTGGGTTAGGGAGACACAGCCCACATCAGCTGTGGGCTCTGTTACCAGATTATAAGTCAAAGCAGGGCTTCTTATATTTAGCTTAGAAAATGTTATCACCAGACATCTAGTCAGTCTCTGTGACTTCTGTTCCACAAGAAACTTTCACATTTTTAGGTGGAGAAAAGGAGAAATGGGCCAGAGGGCACACTAAAAAGAGGAAGGAGGGTGGGGTGCGGTGGCTCACACGTGTAATCCCAGCATTTTGAGGCTGAGGCAGGTGGATCACTTGAGGTCAGGTGTTCCAAACCAGCCTGGTCAACGTGGCAAAACCCTGTCTCTAATAAAAATACAAAAATTAGCCGGGTATGTTGGCAGGCACCTGTAATCTCAGCTACTCAGAAGGCTGAGGCATGAGAATAGGTTGAACCCGGGAGGCGGAGGTTGCAGTGAGCCGATTAGGCCACTGTGCTCCAGCCTGGGCAACAGAGCGAGACTCTGTCTAAAAAAAAAAAAGAAGGAGAAAGAGATTTACTTATGGGGTTGAACCTCTCAAGAAGCTTGCAAAGTCCCTGAAAAGACTAGACTTACCAGTGGCAACGCAGGTGTCAGCTGAATAAGTGGCCAGATCTTGAAACCATCATAGAAAGACAGCAATCCAAGCTGGGATGCTGGAATTTTCTTCATAATATATTCCTCCATATGATAATTTCCTATAATCACTTCCTGATAAATAGTCTTTCAGCTCCTTGGACTGGAAATAAACAGTTATTTCATGAGATGACACATACTCCAGATATTTGAGGTAGCTTCTCATGTATTCTCTCTGCAATGCCCTTCCCCTCTCCTTCCCTGCCAATCTGTCTTTTTTCCGTCTTCCTCAGCCTAAGTACCTCTAGTCTCCTCAACTATTTTCTATATGTGTGTGGACGATGTGTCCCATGCTTTAAATTTTCAAATATATGATCTGTGCTCACTTTGGCTATTCTATTGTCAGATCATTGGTCCCAGATTTTGTTTGAAGATGTTTCTCTGGACCATCACCTTACTTCCAAAAATCTCTAATTCTAACTCCTGATCTTGTTCTTTTCCTCCCGCTTCATCCCATTACAACTTCCTAAATTCTTTGCACGTTTACCTATAAAAAGTTCTGACGTCTAGAGGCCTTTAAACATTATTCTAAAGCGCTAGTGGACATGGAATGCAGGAGTGACCAGAAAGTGCTAGGAGACAGTGCAGATAATAAATCCTATGTGACGGAGAGGTGCATGAGAGGCGTGCAGAATTTGGATCTAAAGTTAATATAAAAGATGAAAAGTACATCCAGTCAAATTTATTCCTGAAATCCCTTAAAACTTTGGGTCTTTCTATTCCTTGACAAATATTTGTCATTTGTAGGTTACTTTTGCTTTTTATCTCTTTATTAGTTAGTGTTTTTCTATGGTTCTCGATTAGAGTTTTTCCATTTTTTCCTTGAGAATGTCTCCTCAACCCTTGCTACTCAAGAATCAACAGCATCAGCATCATCATCACCTGAGACTTTATCAGATATGCAGAACATCAGGCTCCACTCTAGGCCTGCAGAATCAGAATCTGCATTTTGAGCAGTTCCCTAAGCGATTTTAACCAGTTCCCTAAGTGATTTTAGCCAGTTCCCTAAGTGATTTTAGCCAGTTCCCTAAGTGATTGCTTTGCACACTGAAGTCTGAGAAGCTTTAAACCATCACTGCCAGCTTGGCCACCTCAGCCATCTAAACTATGCTTCTCTGTCAGTGGCTGGAAAAATCTTAAAATCACAATGTCTTGTTCCAAAATTTCACCAACATATACCAATCATTTTATCTTTGACCACATGCATTGATTCTTTTTAAAAAGGTATCCATAGTTAAATTAGGGACCTTCAATGTGAGTGAAGTACTCCAAGAAGTACAAGAACAGAGTATTTCACTGCACTTCTAGAAGAAGGTGAAGATTTAAATCTTTTCTTATGATAGAAAATGGTAATAAGGAAAGGAAGGAGCATGAGCAAAATAAAAAGGAACCTCAGGACTGGAGCTGAGAAGGCAGAGAGATAGATTTGGAATGGCTACGTTGTGTTGCAGTGAGAATGAGTTAACAGACACTAACCCAATATCTGTGATTGGAAAACTGAAGTAAGGTGTGTGAGAGTGGTGTGTGCAGTTAATAGAATATCTTAGGGACATTTGAGCAAAGAAATCATGTGACTAAAATGGATGTTGCAGTTTTTTAATGAAATTGTAAAAGATGGATTGTAATTTTTTTCAAGTCTGTTTTCCCATCTGTAAAACGGAGCATAATATCTAGTGGACAGAATGTTGTAAGGAATAAAAATAAAACATGTATTGAGCTTAGGCACACAGGAGGCAAACAGCTGGCAACAGAGGTCACTATAGTTATTCTTGTGTGTGAGTTGAGAGCCTAAAAGCAGAGAAAACATTGAGGGAGCTCCTCCAGTAGTAAGAACAATAGCAATATTGGTCAAGTGCTCACTGTGCTGGGCACTATTTTAATAGTGCATTACAGAAAGTAACACGTACTCCTCACAACAGTCCTATGAAGTAGGTACCATCATCCCCATCTGTCAAATTGGAGGCTAAGGGACAGAGAGGATAAATTATTTGCATAAGTTGCCACAGACAGAATTCAAAAGCTCAGCATGACTTCAAACCCCACATTCTCTATCACCATGTTATTCCACTGCAAGTGTTCCAATGAAGACAAGGAGGAGATGAGTGGTGGGAGAAGTAGAAAAAAAAATGGAAGAACAAAAACTCATCAGTGAGAAGGAGATGACAATGTGTGAGCAAACAGCTCTGGATGAATAGAAAGAGTCAAAAATAACTGAGCTGATAAGTAGGGCCAGGAGGAGAATGGCACTATCACCAGAGGTGGAGGTTTGTTTTGTGTTTGGCTTAATGTCCTTGAAATGTTTAAGATTTGATCAAAATCTCTTTTGTTCATTTTGGAGCTATAAAGCTTATTTTGAAAAATAGGATTGCTTTTGCTTTGTGAACAAAGAACACTTAGCACCCATCATTCACCTGAAGCTTGTGTGTCCAGTGATTAGTTCTGTACATAGGTAAGCATTTCTTTCAAGTAGCACATATTTAAAGAGCATAAGTGCCTTTTTTTCACACCCCATTTAATTTACACTGGTTTTACCTTCCTGCACAGATGGCCTGCTTTTCCTTTTCCTGTGCTTAATTCTCACTGAAGCCAGAGAGTGTTAAATGCCCATGAGGATACAGTGGAGTTAAGGAATACAGGAAGAGGAGTCAGATGGTGCTAATATTACAACAAAACTGTAGGGGGAATGGTTTCTAAAGTTATGATATTATGCATAACACATTAAAAATGTAATTTTGCAGCTTAGTTAATAAAATGGGAAGATCCAAGTAATGTTAACTGAAAATAAATTAGGAAACTGGTATATGCAGTATGATTCTCAAATGGCAGAATTTAAAAGTGCATGTAAATGTATGTTTTTGAAAAATACATATAATCACATAGTTTTTAAAGGTCAGGATTCTTAAAAATATGTATATTATTAGAGGCTATTTCTGGGTGAAAGCACTTACGGTGATTTTATGTTCTTTAAACTCATTTTCATTTTTGCATTTTTCTACATGAGGCATTAATTTTATAATCAGAAGAAAATTATACTTTTAAAAAAGAGGAGTGGCATTTAGAGTTTGTTTTCCCTGTTAGGTGTTTTAAGTCTGAATTAAAGCTACTGTTTTGGCCAGGCGTGGTGGCTCACTCCTGTAATGCCAGCACTTCGGGAGGCCAAGGCAGGTGGATCACGAGGTCAGGAGATCGAGACCATCCTAACATGGTGAAACCCCATCTCTACTAAAAATACAAAAAATTAGCTGGGCATGGTGGCAAGCACCTGTAGTCTCAGCTACTCAGGAGGCTGAGGCAGAGAATCGCTTGAACCCTGGAGGCAGAGGTGGAAGTGAGCCAAGATCGCACCATTGCACTCCAGCCTTGGCAACAAGAGTGAAACTCTGTCTCAAAAAAAAAAAAAGCTGCAGTTTCTGCTGAGATTTTACCCAGTGGGGGCAATATTTGTCCCCCAAATTTCTGCAGTTGCATTTATGTTTGTGAGAGCCTTAAGTGCGGGGAAGAAGTCAGGTGCCGCCTCTTTCACCAGCTGTTAGTTGTTTAACAACAGTAAGTAGAAGTGTTCTTCCTATTAAGTGGGAAAGGGAAGCCGGCCTGCAGGGACAGGCAGAAGTGGGGGGTGATAAAGAGGAATCTTCAAAAGGGCCTTCCTCTTCAGCATTTTTCAGTGATGATTATTTGAGAGATTTGAACAGCTGCATCCTGCAGCTGTGTTTCCAGCTGTGCTAAGTGGGGTTGAGCAAAGCACCCCAGTGGCTTTTTTCTGGGACATGTAGACTAGCCAGTAAATACAGTAAATATGGTAGAGCTGGGACTTCATTGAGCCTTGAGGGAATTAGCTTTCTGGACAACTTTCAGAAAGTTGAAGTTCTAACTTTCAGGCATTGGAAAGATCAAGTGAGCCAATGTACATAAAATAAAAACCTACACAGCACTATATTGATGAGTTTCTGTGAGATTATCAATATTTCTCCCCTTAAGCTCTAAAGCTTCAATGCTTAATCACCATTACTTTCACATATGTTGTGGAAAACATTTTTAATTGCTTAGCATATTTTTAAAATGTGAAAACATTACAATGACCATGATGAATGTTTTAGAGCAAGGAAAGAATGATTCATCATTTGAGAACCCAAAAATTTTCATTTTGGCCTTAAAATATTTAAGCTTATAAGAATAAACTATATTACAAAAAAATTTTGAAAAAATTAGCATCCCATTACCCTAAAACAACTGTCATCAATCCTGTGTATTCATTTCCAAGATTTTTTCTAAAGGCAACATCTGTCAAGTTTAAATTGTAGTGGATATAATAATTTTGTAATCTAATTCCTTTTTGCTTTTCCGTTTAGTATCATATTAGATAGGAGACAGTTTAGGATAGTGGTTAAACTCCCAGGCTCTGGAGTCAGCTATGAGCTTCTATAAGGAGTTCTCTTTTCATCAAGTGGAAAAGGAGACTAGCTAGATAGGAAGAGGGAAGCGAGCATGAAGGAAGAACCTTTAAGGGAGCCTTAAATAGGCTGGGAGCGGTGGCTTATGCCTGTAATCCTGTAATCCCAGCACTTTGGAAGGCTGAGGAGGGAGGATCACACGGTCAGGAGCTCAAGATCAGCCTGGCCAACATGGTGAGACCCCGTCTCTACTAAAAAAACACAAAAATTAGCCAGGCATGGTGGCATGCACCTGTAATCCCAGCTACTCAGGAGGCTGAGGCAGGAGAATTGCTTGAACCCGGGAGGCAGAGGTTGCAGTGAGCCAAGATTATGCCACTGCACTCTAGCCTGGGCGACAGAGCAAGACTCTGTCTCAAAAACAAACAAACAAACAAAAAAAAAACAGCAACAACAAAACGAGAGAGCCTTAAACCCTGCTTCCTAGGGTTATTGTGAGACAGAAAGGAAGTAATATCCATACATATCTAATATACAGCTTGGAACATAGTAAGCATTTAATAAATGGTAGCTATTGTACCATGCATATATTGTAACATAGACTTTATGTAAATTATTTTAATATCAACATAGAATTCCATTGGATAAAGGTAGTATAATATCTTTAATCTATTATTGGCTTTTAATTCTCTTTCTTTCTTTCTTTCTTTTTTTTTGAGACAGAGTCTCGCTCTGTCGCCCAGGCTGGAGTGCAGTGGCGCAATCTTGGCTCACTGCAAGCTCCGCCTCCCGGGTTCACGCCATTCTCCTGCCTCAGCCTCCTGAGTAGCTGGGACTACAGGCGCCCACCACCACGCCCAGCTAATTTTTTTGTATTTTTAGTAGAGACGGGGTTTCACCGTGTTAGGCAGGATGGTCTCGATCTCCTGACCTCGTGATCTGCCCGCCTCGGCCTCCCAAAGTGCTGGGATTACAGGCTTAAGCCACTGCACCCAGCCAATTTTCTTATAATTTTTAACATTATAAATAATGCAGGACATATCTGTCCCCACATTTTAGATGATCTTTTGAGACCACATATAGGTTAACAGAATTACTACGTCAGCAAACATTTTTTAGAATTTTTGATACATTTTACTATATTGCTTTCCAAATACGTTCCAATATCATCATCAATATTTGAAAGCAACAGTTTTACTGTACCATTGCCAGGATTGAATATGAAAGTTAATTTGTGTGTGTGCATGTGTGCATGCATGTACACACATGCCTGTGTTTGTGTATGCTTACTAATTTGGTGGGAAGCTAATGATGATGTAAGATTATTTTTTGCTAAGCCAGAGCAAAGTCTCTGATAGGCTGGCCTGTGGAACTAGGAAGTACTGCCCCCTAGAGGTCATCTGCATGATCCTGGCTGACTGACTTCCTAACTGTGTTAGAAAGTTCCAGAAATTTAACTCCCTTGGAATGTTGTCGCTAGATGTTCAGTTTTATCTCTCAACTTACAGTGATCCGGAAACTCAGGGTAAATGAACTAAATAGAATACAGCTCGCAAATGGGGCTTACGATGTGTAGAAAGTTTTAATGTAAAAGAGAGAACCTCCCCCCAAAACAAAAATCATTAAACTTCAGGAAGAGGCAATTGAGCCTTTAAGGAAAAATCATCTTAGTATAAAGATATATATTGCACAGAGTGGTTCAGGCTTAACTGCAGAGTCTGGGCTGCTGGAAAGAGTTGGTGTTCTGCGGGTTTAGAAAGAGAAGATGGTGATTAAGGAGTAGAGGAAGGAGAAGAACTGTATCATGTGTGGCACATCTCTGCTGTGGTTACCTTTCTCTGAAATGGCTGGTCTCCAACTAGGAAAAGCAGATGTCTCTAACCAGCTGCAAAGTGAGAAAAGATCTAGAGTGAATAGGACAGGCAGGGGTCTGTGGGTAGTAGAGCAGTAGCCCTCGGTGGAGCAGGGATGGCTCCAACAGCAGACACTGAGGCAGGGAGAGCATTGCTCTAGGCACCACTAAGTATATGTGAGGCAGTGGGCCTGCTCATTAAAGCTTACTTTCCTCCTTCTGAATTGCTACTTCTGATCTACTATAGGCTTGGATACCAGATACTTAATCTTGTCAGAATTGTGTGTAAAATAACAATAAAAGTTCCCTGAAAGGAGGATTCTGGGAAAATGGCAGAATAGGAAGCACCAGAAGTGTGTCTCCCCACCTACACAACAATCACAATGGCAGAATCTGGCTAATGTAACTATTTTGGAACTCCGGAGTATCTTCAATGCTTGCAACTTCCAGGGAAAGGCTCAGAAAGTAAATTACAGTTTCTTTTGGTCCATTTCAGTTCTTGGCACAGTAACAACTACCTCAACCCTCTGGCAGGCAGCTGTACACATGTTCCTGGAGCAGATTGCACACAGCTTGAGGGAGCTAGAGAGGGCAAAAAGGACCCTGTCCTAATGTTTGGGACCTGTTTGCTGATCGCTGCTTCTGATTACAGAGATATAAACAAAGGGGCAGGAAGCCCCTATTGTTGCACCTCTCTCTATTATTCGAAGTCCCTCTTTCTCTGGCTGAAGTGATTTTCAGAGCATTTAAATGGCTGGCACATTTTTTCCCCTTCATTTTGTCTTTTTCCTCTTTGGGGACAATACATTAAAAACTAGAACGTCCAAAAGCGACTACATATACAGAGAAATTAGAAAGTCGTAGTGCCTGCCCAGGGAAAGGCAGAGGCTCAGAAAAGGACTGAGAGGACTTTAGGTTTATGCCTCAGGCTGATCCTCAGCACAGAGATAGCCTACAATAATCAATAGACAAACAAAAACAAAAACCAAAACCCTGGAGAAGGGGGAGAATCTGATATCCAGAGTTACTACATTATTCAAATGTCCACTTTTCAACAAAAAAATCACCAGGTGTACAAAGAAACAAGAAAGAAAGACTCATTCAAAAGAAAAAAATAAACAATAAACCAAGAGAAACTGTTCCTGAAAAACACCTAATTCTGAATGGACCAAAAACTTTAAACAACCATCTTAAAAATGCTCAAATATTTAAAGGAAGACATAAGGAAAGTCAAGAAAACAATGTATGCAAAAATGGAAATATCAGTAAAGAGACAGAAAACCTAAAGAGAAACCACAAAAAAATTCTGGAGCTTGTAACCTTGAATATAGGACAAAAGAAATTATCTACTCTGAGGAACAGAAGTAAAACAAATTGAAGAAAAGTGAACATAATGTAAGGGACCCATAGAACGCCATCAAATGGACTGATCCATGCACTGTGGGAGTCCAAGAAGAAAAATGATAAAAAACAGAAAGAATATTTGAAGAAATAGTGGCCAAAGCATTCTAAATTTAATGAGAGACATGATTATAAACATCCAAAAGCTCAATGAACTTTGAATAAGATAAACTCAAAGACACTGATATGGTTTCAATCTGTGTCCCCACCCAAATCTCATGTTCAGTTGTAATCCCCAATGTTGGAGGTGAGGCCTGGTGGGAGGTGATTGGAGCATGGGATCAGATTTCTCATGAATTGTTTAGCATCACCCCCTTGGTGCTGTTCTCCTGATAGTGAGTGAGTTTTCGTGAGATCTTGTTGTTTAAAAGCATGTCACACCTCCCCACTCACTCTCTCTCTTGCTGCTCTGTGCTTGCATCCCCTTCACCTTCCACAATGATTGTAAGTTTCCTGAGGTCTCCCCAGAAGCCAAGCAAATGCCAGCATAATGATTCCTGTACAGCCTGCTGAAGTCTAAACTTCTTTTCTTAATAAATTACTCAGTCTCAGGTATTTCTTTATAGCAATGCAAGAATGGACTAATACAGACACCCACACCAACACATACTGTAATTAAACAGTTGAAATACAAATATAAAAAGAGAACGTTGAAAGCAGTGAGAGAGAAGTAACTAATCACATACAAAAGATTCTCCATAAAAATATTAGCAGATTTCTTATCAGAAACTTTGGAAGCCAGAAGGGAGTGGACTGATATATTCAAAGCGCTAAACAGAAAAAAACCTGTCAATGAAAAATCCTATACCTGTCAAAATTATCCTTCAGAAGTGAGGGAGAAATTAAGACATTCACAGATAAATAAAGCTGAGGGACTTTGCTCCCACTAGACCTGCTCTACAAGAAATACTAAAGTAAATCTTGTAGGTTTAAATTAAAGGGTACATAAGTTAAGAGACTAGTGCATTTAAAAAATATTAGTTTATGTTTTGGAACACACAATGTATAAAGATGTGTCACATCAATAACTGAAGGGCATGGATGGAGATATAAAAGATAATTTTTGTATGTCATTGAAGTTATAAATTCAAATTAGAGTGTTATAACTTTAGTGTGTTAAATGCAATCCCCATGGTAACCACATAGAATTAGCTATAGAATATACACATAAAGAAATGAAAAAGAAATTTAAATATTTTACTACAAAAAAATTGATTAAACACAAAAGAAGATGTAATGCAGAAAATGAGGGACAAAAAAGCTGTAAGGCACGTAGGAAACAAACAGCAAAGTGACAGAAGTAAGTCCCTCCTTATCAATAATTACTTTAAATATAAATGGATGAAATTCTCCAGTCAAAACACAGAGATTGGCAAAATGGATTAAAAAAGAAACATGATCCAACTATATGCTGTCTAAAGAAACTAACCTTATATCCAGACAAACAGATTGAAAGTGAAAAGATGGAAAAAGCTCCTTCATGCAAATAGTAACCAGAAGAGAGCTGGGATGACTATAACTAATATTGGAGAAAATAGACATATCAAAAAGATTACAGGAGACAAAAATAACATTATATATGCATAAAAAGGCCAATACAGCAAAATGATATAACAATTATAAATGTCTGTGCACCTAATAACAGACTATCAAAATTTATGGATCAAAAATGTACAGAATTGAAAGAAGAAATTGAGACTTCAATATCCCACTATCAATAACAGTGCAACTAGACAAAAGATAAGTAAGGAAATAGAAGATTTAAACCACACAATAAAACAACTAGATCTAGTAGATGTATATAGAGCAGTCCACCCAACAACAAAATGCACATTCTCCTCAAGTGGACATGGGACATTTTCTGGGATGGACCATATGTTAGGTCACAGATTAAGTCTGAATAGATTTTATTATTTTATATATATATATATTTATTATACTTTAAGTTCTAGGGTACATGTGCACAACGTGCAGGTTTGTTACATATGTATACATGTGCCATGTTCGTGTGCTGCACCCATTAGCTCGTCATATAAATTAGGTATATCACCTAATGCTATCCGTCCCCACTCCCCCCACCCCCCCATCCCACAACAGGCCCTGGTGTGTGATGTTCCCCTTCCTGTGTCCAGGTGTTCTCATTGTTCAATTCCCACCTATGAGTGAGAACATGCAGTGTTTGGTTTTTTGTCCTTGCGATAGTTTGCTGAGAATGATGGTTTCCAGCTTCATCCATGTCCCTACAAAGGACATGAACTCATCATTTTTTATGGCTGCATAGTATTCCATGGTGTATATGTGCCACATTTTCTTAATCCAGTCTATCATTGTTGGACATTTGGGTTGGTTCCAAGTCTTTGCTATTGTGAGTAGTGCCGCAATAAACATACGTGTGCCTGTGTCTTTATAGCAGCATGATTTATATTCCTTGGGTATATACCCAGTAATGGAAAGGCTGGGTCAAATGGTATTTCCAGTTCTAGAACCCTGAGGAATCGCCACACTGTCTTCCACAGTGGTTGAACTAGTTTAAAGTCCCACCAGCAGTGTAAAAGTGTTCCTATTTCTCCACATCCTCTCCAGCACCTGTTGTTTCCTGACTTTTTAATGATTGCCATTCTAACTAGTGTGAGATGATATCTCATTATGGTTTTGATTTGCATTTCTATGATGCCCAGTGATGATGAGCATTTTTTCATGTGTCTGTTGGCTGCATAAATGTCTTCTTTTGAGAAGTGTCTGTTCATATAATTCGCCCACTTTTTGATGGGGTTGTTTGTTTTTTTCTTGTAAATTAGTTTGAGTTCTTTGTAGATTCTGGATATTAGCTCTTTGTCAGATGAGTAGATTGCAAAATTTTTCTCCCATTCTGTAGGTTGCCTATTCACTCTGATGGTAGTTTCTTTTGCTGTGCAGAAGCTCTTTAGTTTAATTAGATCCCATTTGTCAATTTTGTCTTTTGTTGCCATTGCTTTTGGTGTTTTAGACATGAAGTCCTTGCCCATGCCTATGTCCTGAATGGTAATGCCTAGGTTTTCTTCTAGGGTTTTTATGGTTTTAGGTCTAACGTTTAAGTCTTTAATCCATCTTGAATTAATTTTTGTATAAGCTGTAAGGAAGGGATCCAGATTCAGCTTTCTACATATGGCTAGCCAGTTTTCCCAGCACCATTTGTTAAATAGAGAATCCTTTACCCATTTCTTGTTTTTGTCAAGTTTGTCAAAGATCGGATAGTTGTAGATGTGTGGTATTATTTCTGAGGGCTCTGTTCTGTTCCATTGGTCTATATCTCTGTTTTGGTACCATTACCATGCTGTTTTGGTTACTGTAGCTTTGTAGTATAGTTTGAAGTCAGGTAGCATGATGCCTCCAGCTTTGTCCTTTTTGCTTAGGATTGTCTTGGCAATGAGGGCTCTTTTTTGATTCCATATGAACTTTAAAGTAGTTTTTTCCAATTCTGTGAAGAAAGTCATTGGTAGCTTGATGGGGATGGCATTGAATCTATAAATTCCCTTGGGCAGTATGGCCATTTTCACGATATTGATTCTTCCTATCCATGAGCATGGAGTGTTCTTCCATTTGTTTGTGTCCTCTTTTATTTTGTTGAGCAGTGATTTGTAGTTCTCCTTGAAGAAGTCCTTCACATCCCTTGTAAGTTGGATTCCTAAATATTTTATTCTCTTTGAAGCAATTGTGAATGGGAGTTCACTCATGATTTGGCTCTCTGTTTGTCTGTTATTGGTGTATAAGAATGCTTGTGATTTTTGTACATTGATTTTATATCCTGAGACTTTGCTGAAGTTGCTTATCAGATTAAGGAGATTTTGGGCTGAGACGATGGGGTTTTCTAGATACACAATCATGTCATCTGCAAACAGGGACAATTTGACTTCCTCTTTTCCTAATTGAATACCCTTTATTTCTTTCTTCTGCCTGATTGCCCTGGCCAGAACTTCCAACATTATGTTGAATAGGAGTGGTGAGAGAGGGCATCCCTGTCTTGTGCCAGGTTTCAAAGGGAATGCTTCCAGTTTTTGCCCATTCAGTATGTTATTGGCTGTGGGTTTGTCATAAATAGCTCTTATTATTTTGATATACACTCCATCAATACCTAATTGATTGAGAGTTTTTAGCATGAAGTGCTGTTGAATTTTGTCAAAGGCCTTTTGTGCATCTATTGAGATAATCATTTGGTTTTTGTCTTTGGTTCTGTATATATGCTGGATTCCATGTATTGATTTGCGTATGTTGAACCAGGCTTGCATCCCAGGGATGAAGCCCACTTGATCATGGTGGGTAAGCTTTTTGATGTGCTGCTGGATTTGGTTTGCCAGTATTTTACTGAGGATTTTTGCATTGACGTTCATCAAGGATTTGGTCTAAAATTCTCTTTTTTTGTTGTTGTGTCTCTGCCAGGCTTTGGTATCAGGATGATGCTGGCCTCATAAAATGAGTTAGGGAGGATTCCCTCTTTTTCTATTGATTGGAACAGTTTCAGAAGGAATGGTACCAGCTCCTCCTTGTACCTCTGGTAGAATTCAGCTGTGAATCCATCTGGTCCTGGACTTTTTTTGGTTGGTAAGCTATTAATTATTGCCTCAATTTCAGAGCCTGTTATTGGTCTATTCAGAGATTTAACTTCTTCCTGGTTTAGTCTTGGGAAGGTGTATGTGTCGAGGAATTTATCCATTTCTTCCAGATTTTCTAGTTTATTTGCATAGAGGTGTTTATAGTATACTCTGATGGTAGTTGTATTTCTGTGGGATCAGTGGTGATATCCCCTTTATCATTTTTTATTGCATCTACTTGATTCTTCTCTCTTTTCTTGTTTATTTGTCTTGCCAGCGATCTATCAATTTTGTTGACATTTTCAAAAAACCAGCTCCTGGATTCATTGATTTTTTGAAGGGTTTTTTGTGTCTCTATCTCCTTCAGTTCTTCTCTGATCTTAGTTATTTCTTGCCTTCTGCTAGCTTTTGCATATGTTTGCTCTTGCTTCCCTGGTTGTTTTAGTTGTAATGTTAGGATGTCAATTTTTGATCTTTCCTGCTTTCTCTTGTGGGCATTTAGTGCTATAAATTTCCCTCTACACACTGCTTTAAATGTGTCCCAGAGATTCTGGTATGTTGTGTCTTTGTTCTCATTGGTTTCCAAGAACATCTTTATTTCTGCCTTCATTTTGTTATGCACCCAGTAGTCATTCAGGAGCAGGTTGTTCAGTTTCCATGTAGTTGTGTGGTTTTGAGTTAATCTCTTAATTCTGAGTGCTAGTTTGATTGCACTGTAGTCTGAGATATAGTTTGTTATAATTTCTGATCTTTTACATTTGCTGAGGAGTGCTTTACTTCCAACTATGTGGTCAGTTTTGGAATAGGTGCAGTGTGGTGCTGAGAAAAATGTATGTTCTGCTGATTTGTGGTGGAGAGTTCTGTAGATGTCTATTAGGTCCACTTGGTGCAGAGCTGAGTTCAATTCCTGGATATCTTTCTGTCTCATTTGTTAACTTTCTGTCTCATTGATCTGTCTAATGTTGACAGTGGGGTGTTAAAGTCTCCCATTATTATTATTTGGGAGTCTAAGTCTCTTTGTAGGTCTCTAAGGACTTGCTCTATGAATCTGGGTGCTCCTGTATTAGGTGTATATATATTTAGGATGGTTAGCTCTTCTTGTTGAATTGATCCCTTTACCATTATGTAATGGCCTTCTTTGTCTCTTTTGATCTTTGTTCGTTTAAAGTCTGTTTTATCAGAGACTAGGATTGCAACCCCTGCCTTTTTTTGTTTTCCATTTGCTTGGTAGATCTTCCTCCATGCCTTTATTTTGAGCCTATGTGTGTCTCTGCACGTGAGATGGGTTTCCTGAATACAGCACACTGATGAGTCTTGAGTCTTTATCCAATTTGCCAGTCTGTGTCTTTCAATTGGGGTATTTAGCCCATTTACATTTAAGGTTAATATTGTTATGTGTGAATTTGATCCTGTCATTATGATGTTAGCTGGTTATTTTGCTCATTAGTTGATGCAGTTTCTTCCTAGTCTCGATGGTCTTTACAATTTGGCATGTTTTTGCAGTGGCTGGTACTGGTTGTTCCTTTCCATGTTTAGTGCTTCCTTCAGGAGCTGTTGTACAGCAGACCTGGTGGTGACAAAATCTCTCAGCATTTGCTTGTCTGAAAAGGATTTTATTTCTCCTTCAGTTCACTTATGAAGCTTAGTTTGGCTGGGTATGAAATTCTGGATTGGAAATTCTTTTCTTTCAGAATGTTGAATGTTGGCCCCCACTCTCTTCTGGCTTGTAGAGATTCTGCCGAGAGATCAGCTGTTAGTCTGATGGACTTCCCTTTGTGGGTAACGTGATCTTTCTCTCTGGCTGCCCTTAACATTTTTTCCTTCATTTCAACTTTGGTGAATCTGACAATTATGTGTCTTGGAGTTGATCTTCTTGAAGAGTATCTTTGTGGCATTCTCTATATTTCCTTAATTTGAATGTTGGCCTGCCTTGCTAGTTTGGGGAAGTTCTCCTGGATAATATCCTGCAGAGTGTTTTCCAACTTGGTTCCATTCTCCCTGTCAATTTCAGGTACACCAATGAGACGTAGCTTTGGTCTTTTCACATAGTCCCATATTTCTTGGAGGCTTTGTTCGTTTCTTTTGATTCTTTTTTCTCTAAACTTCTCTTCTCACTTCATTTCATTCATTTGATCTTCCATCACAGATACCCTTTCTTCCAGTTGATTGAATCAGCTACTGGAGCTTGTGCATTCGTCACGTAGTTCTTGTGCCATGGTTTTCAGCTCCAGCAGGTCCTTTAAGGACTTCTCTGCATTGGTTATTCTAGTTAGCCATTCATCTATTCTTTTTTCAATGTTTTTAAACTTCTTTGTGATGGATTCGAACTTCCTCCTTTAGCTTGGAGAAGTTTGATTGTCTGAAGCCTTCTTCTCTCAACTCGTCAAAGTCATTCTCCGTCCAGCTTTGTTCCATTGCTTGTGAGGAGCTGTGTTCCTTTGGAGGAGGACAGGCACTCTGATTTTTAGAATTTTCAGTTTTTCTGCTCTGTTTTCTCCCCATCTTTGTGATTTTATCTACCTTTGGTCTTTGATGATGGTGACATACTGGGTTTTGGTGTGGATGTCCTTTTTGTTTGTTAGTTTTCCTTTTAACAGTCAGGACCCTTAGCTGCAGGTGTGTTGGAGTTTGCTGGAGGTCCACTCCAGACCCTGTTTTTCTGGGTATCAGCAGCAGAGGCTACAAAACAGCGAATATTGCTGAACAGCAAATGTTGCTGTCTGATTGTTCCTCTGGAGGTTTCGTCTGAGAGGGACACCTGGCCGTGTGAGGTGTTGGTCTGCCCCTACTGGGGGGTGCCTCCCAGATAGGCTACTTGGGGGTCAGGGACCCACTTGAGGAGGCAGTCTGTCTGTTCTCAGTTCTCAAACTCCATGCTGGGAGAAACACTACTCTCTTCAAAGCTGTCAGACTGGGACATTTAAGTCTGCAGAGGTTTCTGCTGCCTTTTGTTCAGCTATGCCCTGCCCCCAGAGGTGGAGTCTATGGAGGCAGGCAGGCCTCCTTGACCTGTGGTGGGCTCCACCCAGTTCGAGCTTCCTGGCCACTTTGTTTACCTACTGAAGCCTCAGCAATGGCAGGCACCCCTCCCCCAGCCTTGCTGCCACCTTGCAGTTTGATCTCAGACTGCTGTGCTAGAAATGAGCAAGGCTCTGTGCCTCTGAGCCAGGCATGGGATATAATCTCCTGGTGTGCTCTTTGCTAAGACCATTGGAAAAGTGCAGTATTAGAGTGGGAGTGATCCGATTTTCCAGGTGCCATCTGTCACAGCTTTGCTTGGCTATGAAAGGGAATTCCCTGACCCCTTGCGCTTCCCAGGTTAGGTGATGCATCGCCCTGCTTTGGCTCATGCTCAGTGTGCTGCACCCACTGTCTGACAAGCTCCAGTGAGATGAACCCGGTACCTCAGTTGGAAATGCAGAAATCACCCATCTTATGCATCGCTTAGGCTGAGAGCTATAGACTGGAGCTGTTCCTATTCAAAGTCTTAATAGATTTTAAAAGCTAAATATTTTACAAAGCATACACTACAAACACAACACAGGACCATATGTTAGGCCACAAATAAAGTCTTAATAGATTTTAAAAGCTAAATATTATAGAAAGCATATACTACAAACACAACATAATGAAGTTAGAAATCAATAAGAGACGGAAAACCATTCACAAATTTGTGGAAATTAAAACAATTATATTTTTTTTGAGATGGAGTCTTGCTCTGTTTCCCAGGCTGGAGTGCAGTGGCACAATCTTGGCTCACTGCAACCTCCGCCTCCCAAGTTCAAGTAATTCTCTGCCTCAGCCTTCTGAGTAGCTAGGATTACAGGCACCTGCCACCACACCCAGCTAATTTTTTTATTTTTTTTATTTTTAGTAGGGACAGGGTTTCACCATCTTGGCCAGGCTGGTCTTGAACTCCTGACCTCATGATCCACCTGCCTTGGCCTCCCAAAGTGCTGGGATTAGAGGCATGAGCCACCACACACAGCCTAAACAATACATTCTTAAACAACCAATGCATTGAAGAAGTGACAAGGGAAGTTAGAAAAAACTTAGAGATTAATGAAAATGAAAGGACAACATACTAAAACTTATGAGATTCAGTGAAAGCAGTGCTAAAGGGGGAAATTATAGCTATCAATTTTTTTCATTTTAAAAAAAGAAAGACCTCAAGCCAACAACCTAACTTTAAAACTTAAAGAACCACAAAAAGAAGAACAAACTAAACCCAAAGCTAACAGAAGAAATGAAATTGTAAAAATTAAAGCAGAGATAAACAAAATAGGGAGGAAAAAATGACAAAATCAACAAAACCAAAGTTAGTTTTTTGAAAAGATCAACAACATTAACACACCTTTAGCCAGATAAACTAAGAAAATGAGAGCGAAGATTTAAATTACTAGACTCGGAAATGAAAGTGAGGACATTACTATCAATTCTACATAAATATAAAGGATTATAAGAGAGTAAATGAACTATTGTAGGGCAAAAAATTGGTTACCCTGGATGAAATGGACAAATTCCTAAAAACACAAAATCTTCTAAGGCTAAATCACTAAAAAACAGAAAATTTGAATAGACCTACAACTATAGCTTCCGTATCCCTTACCTGAAATACTTGGAACCAGAAGTGTTTCAGATTTTGAATTTTGGAATATTTGCATATACATAATGAGATATCTTAGGGATGGGACTCAGGTCTAAACATGACATTTATTTATGTTTCATATACATCTTACACACATAAAGTGAAGATAATTTCTCCACTATTTTAAATAATTTTGTGCATGAAATAAAGTTTTGACTGAGTTTTGACAGCAACCCTCACATGAGAGTCAGGTATGAAATTTTCTACTTGTGGTGTCAAATGAAGGGTCAAAAAGTTAGATTTTGGAAGATTTTGAATTTTGGATTTTCAGATTAGGGATGCTTAACTTACAGTAAGAAGATTGAATCACTAATCAAAAATTTTCACCAAAGAAAATCCCTGGACCTCATGGCTTCACTGTTGAAATTTACCAAGACTTTTAAAAAGAACAAACACCAATACTTGTCAAACTTTTCAAAAATTTGAAGAGGAAGAAGTACCTCCTAACTCTTTCTTTTCTTTCTTTCTTTTTTTTTTTTTTTGAGACAGTTCCTCACTCTGTCACCCAGGCTGGTGTGCAGTAGTATGATCATAGCTCACTGAAGCCTTAAACTCCTAAGCTCAAGCAATTCTCCTGCCTTAGCTTCATGAGTAGTTAGGACTACAGGTACGTGCCCCCTCACCTGGCTACTTTTTAAGATTTTTGTAGATACAGGGTCTCACTTTGTTGCCCAGGCTGCTCTCAAACTCCTGGGTTCAAGAGATCCTCCTGGCTTGGCCTCTCAAAGTGCTGAAATTACAGGTGTGAGCCATTGTGCCCAGCCCTAACTCATTTATTGATTCCAGCATTACCCTGATGCTAAAACCAAAGACATTACAAGAAATGAAAACTACAGATTCATATTTCTTATGAACATGGAAAAATTTTCAACAAATTACCGGCAGATTGAATTCAGTAGCATATTGAAAGGATTATACACCATAACCAGGTGAGATTTATTTGTGAAATGCAAGGATGACACAGCATATAAAAATCAATCAATATAATACAGATCTGGTGTAATATACCATTAACAGAATGAAGGAAGGAAACCACATAATCATGTCAATTGATACAGAAAAAAATCATTTGATAAAAACATCTCTTCATTATAAAAACCTTCAAGAAACTAGCAATAGAAGGAAACTACTTCAACTTAATAAAATCCATGTATAAAAATCCACAGCAACCATTGTGCTCAATGGTGAAAGATTGAAAGTTTTCCTCTAAAATTAGGAACATGGCAAGGATGCTTGTTTTTGCCACTTTTATTCAACATTGTACTGGAAGTTCTAGCCAGAGCAATTAGGCAAGTAAAAGGAATAAAAGGCATCCAAATTGAAAAGAAAGAAGTAAATTATCTGTTTGTAGATTATATAATCTTATAGGTAGAAAACTCAAAAACTCTACCAATAAATGTTAGAACAAATAAATAAATTAAGAAAATTAGCAGGATATAAATTCAACATACACACACATATACATACACACAAACAAAAATCAGTTGTATGTCTATATACTAAAAATAAACAATCCAAAAATATTAAGAAGACAATTCTGTTTATAATAGCATCAAAAGGATAAAATATTTAGGGATTAACTTAACCAAAGGGGTGAAAGACTTGTACAATGAAAACTATAAAACATTGCTGAAAGAAACTAAAGAAGGCAAAATAAATGGAAAGACATTCCATGTTCATGGATTGGAAGACTTACTATTGTTAAGATGTCACTACCACCCAAAATGATCTACAGAGTTAATGTAATTCCTATCAAAATCCAAATGATGTTTTTTGCAGAAATGGAAAAACCCATTCTAAAATTTACATGAAATCTTGAGAGACCTTGAATAGCCAAAGCAAAAAGAACAAAGAACAAAAAACAAAGCTGGAGGACTCATACTTCCTGATTTCAAAACTTACTACACAGTGGCAGTAATCAAAGTACTATGGTATTAGAATAAAGACAGACATATTAACCAATGGAATAGACTAAAGAGCCCAGAAACAAACCCTTGCAAATATGGTCAAATGATTTTCAGCCAGGGTGCCAAGACAATCCAATGGAGAAAAAGATAGTCTTTTCAACAAATGGTGTTGGGAAACTTGATCTCCACATGGAAAAGAATGAAGTTAGACCTTTACTTAACACTGTATGCAAAAAATAACTCAAAATGGGCTCATGATGTAAAATGTAATGCCTAAAGCTATAATTAGAAGACATAGGGCAAAAGCTTTATGACATTGGATTTGACAATGATTTTGCCAAAATCATTGAAACACAGGCAACAAATAAAAATTAGACAATTGGATTTCATGAAAAAATTATAAAATTTGTGCATCAAAAGTCATTATTGGTGGTGATGCACAACATTATAAGTGAATTTAATGTCATTGAACTGTATACCTAAAAATTGTTAAAATGGTAAATCTTGTGTGTATTTTGCTACAAAAAAATGGAAAAAATGGCAATATTATCAGAGTAACAAAGCAGCCCATAGAATGGGAGAAAATATTCATAAATCACATATCTAATAAAGGATTAATGTCCAGAATACATAGAGTGCTTCTAAAACTAACAACTTGATTCAGATATAGGCAAAGAACTCGAATAGACATTTCTCAAGAGACAACATTACAAATGACCAATAACCACACAAACCGCTCAACACTAGGAAAAGGCAAATCAAAGCTAAAATGAGTGCCAACTCACACCCATTAGGATGGCTACTATTAAAATAAATAAATAAAGTTTTGGTGAGGATGTGGGAAAATTGAAACCCTTGTGCACTGTTGGTGGTAATGTAAAATTGTGCAGCCACTGTGGAAAACAATATGGCTACTTTGCAAAAACTTAAGAATAGAATTACCATATAATCCAATAATTGCACTTCTGGTTATATACCTAAAATAATTGCAAGAAGGGTGTTAAAGAGATGTTTGTACACACATATTCATAGCAGCATCATTCACCATAGCTGAAATGTGGATGCAACTCCTTGTGTTCGTGGATGGATGAATGGATAAGCAAATATGCTCTATACATACAGTGTTATAGTATTCAGCCTTAAAAACGAGAACATTGACATATGCTGCAACATGGAAGAACCTTGAGGATATTATGCTAAGTGAAGTAAGCCAGTCATAAATGACAAAACTGTATGATTTCACTTATATGAGGTACTTAGAGTAGTCAAAGTCATAGAGACAGAAAGTAGAATGATAGTCGCCAGAGGCTAGGGGAAGAATATATTAGGGAGCTATTGATATAGAGTTTCAGTTTTGCAAGGTGAAAAGAGTTTCCGAGATGGAAGGCAGTGATGGTTGCACAGCAGTATAAATATACCACTGAACTGTACACTTCAAAATGGTTAAAATGATAAATTTTATGTCATGTGTCTTTTACTGCAATTTTTAAAAACTATCTGAGAGGGAATCCGAGAAATTTTCCTGTGAGCAATGAGTGTGAATTTTAATGCATGAAGTTTATAAAATCTACTTGGACTATTTATACATCCTTTTTGTTTCTTTCCCGATTCCCGGCTCTATTTTATTCAAAGAAGCTTGCCAAATAGTTGAGTCCTAAACAGATGAAATTCTTTCACAATTTGTTTTCCAGGTTTCTTTGCTCTTATCTAGATTCATAACATATAAAGTTACTATAGTGGAATGGGTAAAAACTTACGCTCTGGGGTTAGATCTGAAAAAGTCGGAAAGACCTGGGTTTGAATCTGAGCTCCACAGGTGACTTTGGGAAGTTAGGCAACGTCTCTAAGCCTCAGTTTGTTCATTTGTGAAATGAGGATAATGTTTCCTTTGTGGTCTCTTGTGGGTATTGAAGACAAAATGGATATGTAATGATAAAATGCACAGTGTCTGAAACCAGTAAAAGATAATGCACGTTGTTATACTGAGAAGCCCCGGCAGGAAGTGACAGTATTGACTCGGTCTCTTTCTGTCTGCTGATGAGTTGATTTTGTCAGTATAATATAGCCAGCTCGCTTTGCAATGTGAATTGGAAATTTTGCCCAGAGCATTGTTCTATTGACTATAGACAAAAGCAACAGAACAAGAATTTTGTAATAGGCTTTATAAAAGCAAAAACAATTTAGCAATTAAATTTACAAAATAAGCAAGTAGAAAGTATCTTTATTTCACTTGAGTTTATCCTATAAAACTGGGCCTGAGTGGGTATATGGTTTCTTAAAATAAGGGTAAAATAAAACCTTTCAAGACCTAGTTGTATAAAGTTGGTTTTCTCAAAAAGGCCTAGAAATTAGATATTCAAAAGAGATACTTTAAAAAAAACATTAATGTATAGATATGAAAATCTTCTTTACCAATTACTTTTTATTTGCTTTTTGGATAAAGCCTGTACATACACATATACATATACACACTTATGTATTATATATATATATATATAAAATATATAATATGTATATTATATATAAAATATATAATATGTATATTATATATATAATATATAATATGTATATTATATATATATTATATATAATATGTATATTATATATATAATATATATAATATGTATATTATATATATAATATACATATAATATGTATATTATATATATAATATATATATAATATGTATATTATATATATAATATATATATAATATGTATATTATATATATTATATATATAATATGTATATTATATATAATATAGATTATATATACATACATTATATATGTATACTATATATATTCATATGGGTGTGTGTGTGTATTTTTAGTTTGCTTACTTACATTTTTTTCACAGAAAAAAGAAGAAATGTGCCATTATAAGACAATTGTGGTGAACTCACCCTTGATTCTACATCAGAAAAAGTGTGTTTGGGGTTTCAAACCCCTCTTCCTTTCACCTGCCCCCATCCCCAGTACCTTCTCTCTTCTTTATTCAGGCTCAAAGACAGCATATGAGAGTGTAAATGATTATGAAAGTATCTTTCTCACTTCTGAAGGCACAGAGAAGAAAAAAAGCATATCAACAACCTATGCACATGTGCATTTAAAACATGACTGGGATTGAAAACATATGTCCAAAGACTTGCCCAAGAATTTTCACAGCACCATTATTCATAAAGACAAAAAAGTGGAAACAACCCAAATGTCCATCACCTGTACATTATAAATAAATAAAATGTGGTATATCCATATAATTAAATATATTTATATATAAATATGTGCATATTTATATTGAGTATATTAAACTCTGTGAATATACTAAAATCCACAGAATTGTACACTTTATAAGTATGAATTTTTATGGTATATGAATTATATCTAAATGAAGCTGTTAAAAAGAAAAAGAAAAACACAACTGGCTTCTGGCAGAACAATTCTAATTTTTTATCATATAGATATTTAATTTCACCATAGAAGAGTTATAGCATTTTAATAAATGATCCTGAGGTTATTTATTAAAATTTATGTATTAAAATAACCCTGGGGTTATTTATTAAAATTGCATAAGGCTGAGGCAGGAGAATGGAGTGAACCCGGGAGGCGGAGCTTATAGTGAGCTGATTTCGCCTCACTGCACTCCAGTCTGGACGACAGAGCAAGACTCCATCTCAAAAAAAAAAAAAAAAAAAAAAAAAAATGCATGAAACCAGTAAATTTTTTTCTGAAAACATCTTTACCTTAGAAATCAGAGTTTTCTAGGAATAGCGGGGAACGTTAACAATAAATTTGCTTAAACCTTCTTGAAGGATTATGGTTTGCACTCTCTATTCACATTCACCAGTTGAAGCTTCTGAGGCATTGTTTGTTTTCTGAACGTTTAAAGCTTCCTAGAGAGGTTGAAGAATTCTTATTCTTATTAAGAGTGATGCCAAAACAGCCTTACACAATTGACAGGAAGAATTAAAGAGAATGACTAATGAAGTTCTAGAAAAGCTGTTTCTAAATTCTACCTCTGCTCTCTACCAGGATGAATAAGCCTTGTTTTCCTATGGCCAATTTATTTAAGCAACACATTATTCCAGAAATTGAGAAACTGGCAGGCAGTGATAAAAGTCCACTCTAAAAACAAGTTTGAGTTTTTTATTGTTTTTCCGTTTGATCCTCTTTAAGAATTAAAATGAACAATGTCATTAATATGCTAAAGTAAGGGAATTGGCTGAATAATATTACAGGCTTCAAGTTATGCAATATTCTAATCTCACAAGTATGGAAACTGATATTTTGGGGCTAGGGATCATTTCTTAATTTTCTATAGTAAAATTTCTACACACAAAAAAATACATAATGTGATCAGATTCAAAGTTTATTTGGATCACACATTTAATTATAATTATTGAGAAAAACTTATAAAACAGATTAGCAATTACTGCACAAATCTCCTTGGCCTGCTAACCATTATTACTATTAGTTATCAGAAATTATCTCTAATACTCAATGTGCTAATCCATTGCTAGTTCCTTTAAAAAAAAAAAAAAAAACTTCCAGCATTAAACAAACATTAATTAAAAGAGAGATCAAGACAGAATCAATCCTTGGCAACTTCTTTAAAGCCAAAAGATGATTCCTTCCTGGGTCCAAACAGCCCTCTTTTCTGCTGCTATCACCCAAGAATTCCATGCATAGCAATGCCTGAGGGCTATCGTGGAAAGAAGGACAAAGAAGCACTACTTGGTCAGTAACTAAGGAATAGCTGTACCCACTTCTGATACCCTGGGACTCACTCAAGTCAACTTCATTTTCATCAGGTCTGCTCCTATACCATTCTAACATTTGTAGTTCACCAGTGATGTACTGTTCTTCTTTACAGCCTGTGCTTCTATTCTCACTACCTCTATTTTGCTTGTCAAGGCATATTTTTTCCATCCATGGACTTCACCTCTCCATTACCCACTTTGCACGCCAGTTTTGAAGAATATTTTCAAAGCTTTCTAGTATCCACTCACCACTCTCAGCCTGATGGAACATGTTAACATGGTCATCACATGGTAGATCTTTCACTTGCGTCACGTCTGTGTGAAGAGACCACCAAACAGGCTTTGTGTGAACAACAAGGCTGTTTATTTCACCTGGGTGCCAGTGGGCTGAGTCCGAAAAGAGAGTCAGTGAAGGGAGATAGGGGTGGGGCCGCTTTATAGGATTTGGGTGGGTAGTGGAAAATTACAGTCAAAGGGGGTTGCTCTCTGGTGGGCAGGGGTGGGGGTCACAAGGTGCTCAGTGGGGGAGCTTTTGAGCCAGGATGAGCCAGGAGAAGGAATTTCACAAGGTAATGTCATCAGTTAAGGCAGGGACTGGCTATTTTCACTTCTTTTGTGATTCTTCACTTGCTTCAGGCCATCTGGACGTACACATGCAGGTCACAGAGGATACAATGGCTTAACTTGGGCTCAGAGGCCTGACATTCCTGCCTTCTTATATTAATAAGAAAAATAGCATAAAATAATATTGAAGTGTTGGGGTAGTATGGAGAGATAATGGGCGATGTTTCTCAGGGCTGCTTCAAGCAGGATCAGGCATGGCATGGGAACCTAGAGTCAGAGAGGTCAAGTTGAAGGAGGATTTTGTGGTAAGGGGTGATATTGTGGGGTTGTTAGAAGGAGCATTTGTCATATAGAATGATAGGTGATGGCCTGGAATGGTTTTGGATGAATTGGGAAACTAAATGGAAGATACAAGGTCCAATTAAAAGAAGGAGAAAAACAGGTATTAAAGGACTAAGAATTGGGAGGACCCAGGACATCCAATTAGAGAGTGCCCAAGGGGGTTCAGCATAATTACTTGCTTGGTTGGTGAGTTTTTGGGCTCTATCATTGAGTTTTTTTATGTCATCATACACCAGGCCAGATTGATTTAGGTAAAAACAACACCTTCATTTAAGAATATACAGAGTCCTCCTTTTTCAGCAGTGAGTAAGTCAAGGCCTCAGCCGTTTTGGAGGACAACTGCAGCTAAAGAGTCAACTTGGGCCTGGAGGACTGACAAAGTTTGTGATATGTCTGTGATGCTAGCAGAGAAGTCATTAGAGAGGCTACGGAAGGTCATGACAGAGGTTGAAATGCCTGCTATTCCAGTACTGAGAGCAATAATGTAGGCAGAAAGTCCTAAACTGACAAGCAAGGGAATTAGTGGCATAACTCTTTTTTGTCATGTCAGTGTTATGAGGGGAACAGGGAGCTCTTCGGTCCCATTTGCAAATTGAATTTTGGGAGTAAGGAAAACTAGTGTGCATGTGGCTGTCCAATTAGCAGGTAGACACATGTAGGTAGAGGATCCAGAGAGGAAGAAGAGATCTTGTGCGAGGCAAAACTGGAGATGCAAAGTAAAAAGGTGAGAAGGAGTGCTGAAAGAGGTGTCTTGTACCCAGACTCCTAGGGATCCAGCTAGGGCGGCAGCCATCAGAGGTTGTAATGGGGACTGATGGGGTAACTGTGTAGAGGGGGAGGTTCGATTTTCATGGTGTATGAGAAAATGTTGAGTGTCTACAAGCAAATTTTCACTGTTATTTATGGGGCTGGGTATAAGTAAACAAGAAGAGGACCTGGGAGCAGGGTCTGATGAGCAAGGGGAAGGTAGCCAAGGATGGAGTGAAATACAAGGTAAGTGTCTTCTTAAGCAATAATTACTGCTAATGTTTTTAAGTTTGCCAGTATTGATAGAGGGCTTGTCTGTAATACGGAGCTGGAAGGCTCCAATTGTTTCAGTGATGTGTGTAGTTGGGCTTTGGAGATGAAGAGTGAAGGAACATCGAGAAGGTGAAAGGTTACCTAGGGGAATGCCAGTGGGTCTTTGCTGAGAAATACATAAAGGAGCAGCCACAGGAATAGTAGTTTTTGGTGTGAGGGGTCCAAATATGGGGGGAGTAGAGTTGATATAAGAAGAAAGGTTTTTTAAGTATGTGCAGAGGAGGGTGGCAGCTTGCTGATGTGAAATGTCTGGAGAGGTCTTGCTGGACCTGTCTAGAAAGTAAAGAAGTTCTTCAGGAGGGTAAAGGTGAGGGCTGTTAAAGAAGTTCAGAGGTGTAGGGAGACAGGAGATGTTGCCCAGTCTGTATGTAAGGCAGGGACAGCTGTGTAGGGGCTGGAAGAAAGGGAAATGCAAAGCCAGCAATTGTTCACGAAGGAGGGATTAAAAATGGCTGGGGAGAGGTAGAGGGTGACATAAGAATGAGAATGAGAATAAGAGTGAGTATAAAAGTAAAGAATAGAACTTCATCAGGGTGAAAGTATTGGAGGGTGCCCTGCCAGCAAAGATCACCTATCCACCCTAAGAGGGAGTTAAGAGTGGTGGTTTGGGGATAGCACCAGGAGATATCAGCTGCGATGGCTTGGAGAAACAGTGTAAACCAGCAGTGTAAACAAGAGTAGGGCATTTATGAGTAGTTGAGAACAATGAATAGGAGTATGACTAGAAAGAAGATAGTAGGGATGACTAGGTTTTCGGGGGGCTCAGTCCAAGTAGTGGGGGTGACTGCGTAAAGCCCTGTTGCAAAAAGTAGGGTAAGGATGAACAGACCTAATGGAATGAAGGGATGTATTAGGCTCATAAGTGCTATTACTGTTCTTCAGAAATGCGAGTGAGTTTAAGGGAAGTAGGGGAGAGTACTTGAGACTTCCAGGAGGAAGAGGAGAGATTAGGCTGTCTGTCTGATGGACACAGCTTTATTCTGGAATGGTGAACCCAGTGGGTAGGATCCTGCAGGCAGATAGCAATTGGGGTACTATAGATGACTAAGTAGGGTCCAGTCCATGGAGGTTGCAGAGTTTGAGGGGTCAGATTCTTAACAAGAACTGATCGTCCAGCTAGGGTGTCTTCATATGGCTGGGAATCTGGAGTAGGCAAGAGAAGATTAGCAGCCTGGTGAATTTCCTGTCTAGCGTGCTTGAGGACTGGAAGATAGTTGCCTAGAGGGCTGGTGTCTGGGATGAGGTTGGGGCCGAGCAAGAAAGTGCGTCCATAAAAAAGTTCAGATGGACTGTATCCTGTAGCATCTTGAGGACAGGCTGTAATTCTGAGAAGGGCAAGAGGTAAAAGTACTAACCAGTCCTTTTTAAGTTGGAGGCTGAGCTTGGTGAGGTGCATTTTTAAAAAAAACCATTAGTCCTTTGTTCCTTTCCTGAAGGTCAAGGACGGTAAGGGATATGAAGGTTCCACTGAATACCAAGAGCCTGAGAAACTGCTTGGGTGATTTGACTAGTAAAGGCCAGTCTGTTATTGGACTGTATAGAGGTGGGAAGGCCAAACTGAGGAACTATGTCTGACAGAAGGGAATAAGTGACCGTGGTTGCCTTCTCTGACCTTGTGGGAAAGGCCTCTACCCATCCAGTGAAAGTGTCTACCCAGACCAAGAGGCATTTTAGTTTTTTGACTCGGGGCATGTGAGTAAAGTCAATTTGCCAGTCCTGGGCAGGGGCAAATCCCTGAGCTTGATGTGTAGGAAAGGGAGGAGGCCTGAACAATCCCTGAGGGGTAGTAGAATAGCAGGTGGAGCACTGAGAAGTTATTTCCTTGAGGATAGATTTCCATGATGGAAAGGAAATGAGAGGGTCTAAGAGATGGGCTAGCAGCTTGTAACCTACATGGAAGAGGTTATGAAATGATGACAGAGCAGAATGGTCCTGTGAGGCTGGAAGCAGATATTTTCCTTGGTCTAAGAACCATTTGCCTTGTGTGGGAAGAGATTAATAGGAGGAAGTTTCAGCAGAGAAGTAGGTGGGAGTGACCAATGAGAAGGAGGAAAACTGACTGTGAGGGACAGAAGTTGGAACACTAGATGCTTCTTTAGCCACATTATCAGCATAAGCATTGCCTAGAGCAATGGGATCTGATGCCTTTTGATGGCCCTTGCAGTGAATGACTCCAGCTTCCTTTGGAAGTAAAGCGGCCTTGAGAAGAGTTTTTATTAAAGAGGCGTTAATGATAGAGGACCCTTGTGTAGTGAGGAAACCTCTTTCTGCCCATATAACAGCATGGTGGTGCAGGATATGGAAGGCCTATTTAGAGTCAGTATAAATATTGACACCTAGTCCCTTTGCAAGAGTGAGGGCCCGAGTTAAGGCAAAGAGTTCGGCTTGCTGAGAGGTAGCGGAGGGGGGCAGAGCAGTGGCCTCAATGATAGATGTGGAAGATACTATAGCATAGCCTACCTTTGCTGGTGAGTAGTGATTAGGCCTGGTGGAACTGCCATCAATAAACCAAATGTGATCAGGGTGAGGAACAGGAAAGAAGAAAATATGGGGAAATGGGGTGAATGTTAGGTGGATCAGAGAGATACAGTCATGCGGGTCAGGTGTGGTATCTGGAATAACGTGGGAGGCCAGATTGAAGTCCAGGCCAGGAACAATGGTAACTGTGGGAGACTCAACAAAGACTGAGTATAGCTGGAGGAGCCAGGGAGCAGAAAGTATGTCAGGTATGAGGAAGAAAATAGATTTTGGAAGTTATGAGAGCTGTAGAGAGTGAGTTGAACATAGTTTGTGATTTTGAGGGCCTCTAAAATATTAGGGAGGCAGCAGCCACTGCATGGAGACATGATGGCCAGCCTAAAACAGTATGGTCAAGTTGTTTGGACAAAAGGGCTACAGGGTGCAGTCCTGGTCCTTGTGTAAGAATTCCAACTGCACAGCCTTGCACTTCAGCTGTATGTAATGAAAAGGGTTGGGATGAGTCAGGGAGAGCTAGTGTGGGGGCAGTCTCTAAACCTGTCTTCAAGGAATGGAAAGAGGAGTGGGGAAAGGATTTAAGATCTATGGAGTCAGCTAGGTTTCCTTTTGTGAGTTTATATAATGGTATTGTTAGGATGGCAAAACCAGGTATCCAAAGGTGAAAGTATCCAAACATGCTTAGGAAGGAAAGGAGTTGTTGTTGTGTAGAAGGTGTTGGGATTTGGGAGATCAGTCAGAAACAATCGGCAGGAGAGCACATGTGTTTTTATGAAGAATTATGCTGAAGTAGGTAATGGATGGAGAAGAAATTTGAGCTTTGGAGGGGGATACCCGATATCCTTTGGAGAATAAATGTTGAAGGAGCAGGTGGGTGTCTTGTTGAGAACTCCTAAAAAAGTTAAAAATAGAGTGCCATATGACCCAGCAATTCCACTTTTAGGTGTATGTCCCATATGGCACATGGAAAATTGTACATGGATATTCACAGCAGCATTATTTGTAATAGATAAAAAATAGAAACTACCCAAATATTTACTAGCTGATGAATGGATGAACAAAATATAGTATATCCATACAAAGAATATTATTCAGCCTTAAAAAGGAGTGAAGTATTGAGATATGCTATAACATAGATGGACCTTAAAAACGTTAGGCTAAGTGAAAGAAGCCAGTAACAAAGGGCCACATATTGTATAATTTCACTGATGCAAAATGTCAGAATAGGCAAATTTATAGAGACAGGAACTAGATTAGTGTTTGCCTAGGGCTGGGGAAAGAAAGGCATGGGAAGTGACTGCTAATGGGTATGAGTTTTCTTTTTAAGGTGATAAATGCTCTAAAATTAGATAGTGGTAATGGTTGTACAACCTTAAGAATTTGCTAAAAATTACATAATTATATACTTTAAAAGAATGAATCTACGTTATGTGAGTTACATATCAATTTTTTAAAAAAGATGTTAGATTCCTGGTGACATGTTGTTCAGCTCTAGCACCTGATTCACTGAGAAGATTTTGGGCAATAAGGAAAAATGGAGCTCACCTCCAACTGTAAGAAAGCTTTAGAATGCATTAGTCCTACAAAAAATTAAGACTGTCCATCCATGATCTGATGAACCAGAAAAGTACCATCCTAGACTGACGGAAGTTGCATCCATGTAAAAGTCAGCTGTGGATGACAGCTCCTGTCTTGTACATTTGCTCATCAACCTTCCCCTTTTTCTCCTCAACCCACCTGTGCTGATTAGTCTCCATTTGCCCTACTCCCAACCTTAGTCCATTATGTTATCTTTTCCACCTTGAACTATGATTCCAGAGAATAATTTTCAACAGTGCATCTCCTGGGCTCCCCTACCTTTTGGAGTCCAGTTGGGTTTGGCCAATGGAAGGAATCAAAGGTTTGATTGGAGGGTGAAAGCAAAGAGGTTGAGATATTTATTCTCCTGTCTTCTCCCTGCTCCCCTACTCCCAGTGCTTGCCTCCTTACCACCCTGGCAATAGCTTCATTCCTCTGCACTTATGGCTCCTGTCAGGCAATCCCCCTTCCACATCTCCAATGTTCACCAGGCTCTACTTTTCCCTCCCTTTGCCTTTTCAGACCAAGGAGTGATAAGGCTTCCTCCTTGTCATTTCCTTTCCTGCCCATGTCAGTTTCTTGTTGTAACAAAGGCTGATATCCTACCCTTTTCTCTTTGTATCTCCCTGACTCTAACTCTAAGGCTTCTTGAGAAAACTGCTGATACTCACTTCTGAGCTCCTTGTTTATTCTCTAGGAACAACCACATTGATGGACGGGTGAGTGAGGAAAGGATTGCATATTTATAATTCCTTTCCTTCTATGTTATTCTTCAAATATAATTGAGAGATGGCAGCTACCTGGGACACAGTGCAGGATTTGCTCTATCCAGGGTCTTGGTGTCTTAAAGATATGGAGACAGGAAAGGGCTCACTGGGCAGCTTGGCCATGCACCAATGGGATTTTTAGAGATGGCCTGGTACCCAAGTTGCCCTGAAGCATTTAAGACTTCATCTTTCAGCCATTGTTATTTCTAAACACGATTGCCTTTGTGAGTGAGAATTCATGTTATATGGGCCAGCTAGTTTCAAGCTAAAATAGTTTAGGGTCAAGGCAGAGCCTGAAAAGAACCTATAATTATTTTATTATATAGAATACAGAACTTCTGACATCAAAAGTTTATAATGAGTTCAGTCTGTCTGAGTTTGTTCAGGCCAAAACCACTAAAAATGAACCTTTTGTCAGGCAAAATCAGATATATTGACCCACTGCAATAAGGGAGACACACATACTAGAGGAACCATGAAGCATCTCACCAAAGGGCAAGATAGAGTTAGGATAGATAGAATTGGGAAGAAGAGTAGAATTTAGGTGAATTTCAATGCAGGAGTGTTTTTGTAGGCTCAAAGAAAAACAGGGCTGTGTAAAGTGGTCAACATCACATCCAATCTGCAAACTAGACCCAGGGTTTTGTTTCCTTGGAAGAAAAGAAAGTTAAGATAGATGTGGAATTTTGTGTGCAGAAACCCCTTATCTGAAGCTCTGCACCTGGGTTGTAAATGGCGACTATTTCTATGTGTCAGAGTAACTTAGGTCTCCAAGGCAGCATGGATTGTTTCATTTTTACTGATATACTTTCAAACAACAATTTTAATCAAATCATTTAAATTTCTGAAAGTCTCAGATTTTAGAGAACAAAGTTTCTCAGTGCCTAAGAAAATAGTAGACACTTAAAGAAGGGGGTTGTTATGACAGCTTCAGTGTGTCCTTGGGTGAAAATATTGTTTCCTGTTAACTTTGCAGCTGGTTTTATCTGTGTTTTTTTATTCCAATCTGAAGAACAGTAGGGCAGATTTTTATAATCTGAGCTAATTTTTACTTTCATATTACCTTGATGAATTGCACTAGACATGGAGCATAAGCAAGAAATAAGCTTTTGTAAAATTAAGATGTTGAGTTTCTGAGGTGTTTTATTTGTTTTTGTTTTGTTTTGTTTTGTTTTGTTTTATCATAGCATAACTAAGCCTACTCTGTATGTCACATAAAATTCTGTTTTAGTTAAATTTCCATAAAATGAAGTACTGGCTTAGGAGCTGGCAGCATGTGGCAGAAAACTGTTATTGGAGGATGAAAAGATGTATATCCATTATTACACAGTGGCCAAACATTTGGTAAAACTTGGAGGACACATCATGTTCCTCATAAATTTGTAGCCTTAGAAGAAGAGGTTGAAAAATAGAATGTTGGTAGCCTGTACTGGCTGCTGATGACTATGTTTGGCAAGGTAATATAAGAAATAGATGGACTCAGAAAAGAATTGGCTAATTTAAAAGCAGGAAAGAGAATAGAAAATGTCCACAAACTTGGAATTTTATAGGGTTGCAAAAGGCAACCATTTCTGAGCCCCAAGCAATGAAAAATAGCATTAAGAAATGCCCTGATTACAAAGTCTGATTAAAACTTATTGCTGGCTGGGCATGGTGGCTCATGCCTGTAATCCCAGCACTTTGGGAGTCCGAAGTGGGTGGATCATGAGGTTGGGAGATTGAGACCACAGTGAAACCCCGTCTCTACTAAAAAACACAAAAAATTACCCAGGTGTGGTGGCGGGCACCTGTAACCCCAGCTACTCGGGAGGCTGAGGCAGGAGAATGGCATGAACCTGGGAGGAGGATCTTGCAGTGAGCCAAGATCACGCCACTGCACTCCAGCCTGGGCGACAGAGTTAGACTCCATCTCAAAAAAAAAAAAAAAACTTATTGCTGAAGCAAGGATCAAATCAAGGTAAAGCCAGTGGACATATTGTTAAAACTTCCATATGGATTAAGATAGTACCTGTGATATCTTTTTAATCGGCTGAAATAGTTCAGGGTAAAAAACTAAAGATGCAGCCCTCCTACCAAAGACATTCCCAAAGTAACTGCAACTGAGAGAGGGAGAGGAAGAGGCATATATAAAGCAAAGAAATATAGCAAATTGCAAAGAGAAATGAAAACGTATGTTCATACAAAAACTTGTACACAAGTATTTATAGCAGCATTATTTATAATAGCCAAAATGTAGAAAGAACCCAAGCATCCATGAACTGATGGATAAATATAATGTGGTATATGTATACAATGGAATATTATTTGACAGTAAAAAATATTAAGTACAGATATGTGCTACAACACGGATGAACCTTAAAAACATTGTGACTAAGTGAAAGAAGCCAGTCACAAAGGCCATATGCAGTATTGTATGATTCACTTTATATGACATGTCTGGAATAGGCAAATCCATAACAGGAAGCAGATTGGTGGTTGCCTAGGACTGGGGATAGAATGGGGTGAGGTGGGAGAAGGTGGGGAGAAATGGAGAGTGGTTGCTAGTGGATATGCTGTTTCTTTTTGGGGTGACAAAAAGGTTCTGTAATTGGTGGTGATAGTTACACAATTATATAGTCACGTATCACTTAGCAATGGGGATATGTTCTGAGAAATATGTCATTAGGTGATTTGGTCTTTTGGGGACATCATACACTGTAACTACACAAACCCGGATTGTATTCCCTACCACACACCTACACTATATCACATAGCCTATTGCTCCTAGGCTACTACAAATCTGTACAGCAAGTTACTGTACTGAATACTGTAGGCAATTATAACACAGTGGTAAGTATTTGTGTATCTAAACATATCTAAACATAGAAATGTTACAATGAAAATACAGTATAAAAGATTTAAAATGGCGCATCTATATGGGACATCGTATTAGTCCATTCTCATGCTGCTAAAAAGAACTGCCTGAGACTGGGTAACTTCTAAAGAAAATAGGTTTAATTGACTCACAGTTCTGCAGATCAGTGGAGGCCTCAGGAAACTTACAATCATGGTGGAAGGGAAAGCAGACATGTCCTTCTTCACATGACAGCAGGAAGGGGAAGAATGAGAGCTGAACAAAGGAAGAAACCCCTTATAAAACCATCGGATCTCATAAGAAGTTACTCACTATCATGAGAATAGCATGGGGGAAATCACCCCCATGATTCAATTACCTTTAACTGAGTCCCATGACGTGGGGATTATGGGAACTACAAATCAAAATGAGATTTGAGTAAGGACACAGCCAAACCATATCAGGCACTTACCATGTTGGAGGTTGCAGGACTGGAAGTTGCTCTTGGTAAGTCAGTCAGTGTGTGGTGAGTGATTGTGAAGTCCTAGGACATTACTGTACACTACTGTAGACTTTACAAACACTGTACACTTAGGCTACATTAAATTTATTTAAAAACTCTTTTACTTCAATAACAAATTAACTTTCTGTAACAGTTTTACTATATAAACTTTAATTTTTTTTTTCTTGAGACAGAGTCTTGCTCTGTCACCAGGCTGGAGCGCAGTGGTGCAATTTTGGCTCACTGCAACCTCCAACTCCCTGGTTCAAGCAATTCTCCTGTCACAGCCTCCCAAGTAGCTGGGATTACAGGCACATGCCACCATGCCCAGCTAATTTTTGTATTTTTAGTAGAGACAGGGTTTCACCATGCTGGCTGGGGTGGTCTCGATCTCCTGACCTCATGATCCACCCACCTCGACCTCCCCAAGTGCTGGGATTACAGGCGTAAGCCACCACACCCGGCCTAAACTTTAAAATTTTTTAACTTTTGACTCTTTTATAATACAATTTAGCTTAAAACACAAACACATTGTACAGCAATACAAAAATATCTTCTTTCTTTCTTTCTTTTTTTTTTTGAGACGAAGTCTCGCTCTGTCGCCCAGGCTGGAGTGCAGTGGCGCTATCTCAGCTCACTGCAAACTCCGCCTTCTGAGTTCACACCATTCTCCTGCCTCAGCCTCCCGAGTAGCTGGGAGTACAGGTGCCCACCACTATGTCTGGCTAATTTTTTGTATTTTTAGTAGAGATGGGGTTTCTCTGTGTTAGCCAGGATGGTCTTGATCTCCTGACCTCGTGATCTGCCCGTCTCAGCCTCCCAACGTGCTGGGATTACAGGCATGAGCCTCCTTGCCCAGCCTTCTTTCTTTATACCTACATTCGGTAAGCTTTTCTCTATTTTTAAATGTTTTAATTTTGTTTTACTTTTTATACTTTTTTGTTGAAAACAAAGACACAAACACATTAATGTAGGCCTACATATGGTAAGGATCATAAGTATCACTGGTCTTACACCTCCACATCTTGTCTTACTGGAGGGTCTTCAGGGACAGTAACACATAGAGCTGTTACACCTATGGTAACAATAACTTCCTCTGGAAGACCACCGGAAAGACCTGGCTGAGGCTATTTTGCAGTTAGCTTTTTATTTTCATAAGTAGAAGCAGACTCTAAAACAATGAAAAAGTATAGTATAGTAAGTGCATAAGCCAGTGACATAGCATTTATTAAGTCTTACGTATTTTATATGCTAAACTTTAATACAACTGGAAGCTCAGTAGGTTTGTTTATACAAGCATCGCCACAAATATGTGAGTAATGCGTTGTGCCAAGACTTCATGACAGCTATGATGACACCAGGCAATAGTCATTTTTCAGCTCCATTATAATCTTATGGGACTACTGTCATATATGTGGTCTGTTGTTGGCTGACAGCATTATGTGGCACATGGCTGTGCTAAAAACCACTGAATTGTACACTCTAAATAGATGCATTGTATGTTTTATGAATTATATCTAAAAATTAAATGATACAATTACATCTAGAAAAGAACTGTAGATGTGACTATTGGCATATAGAACTGACTGGAATCAGATGAGAAGATTATTGAATTTTTGAGAGAGTTAAACTGCTAAAGGGATCACTAGCTTAGAAAAAAAAGAAGCTGACTGCACAGAATTTTACACAAGCCTTAGCCCCAACTTTCTGTGTAGGAAGTGGGCTAAGATATCTTTCTAACCTCTAAAGAAGATATTCATTAATTCCCACTTCTGATGAGGCCAAACACGATATCAGAAAAAGAAGAATCTTACAAAAGGTACATGCAAGGGCTGTGGAGATAGGTGGATTGAGGAATCCCTTGTGGTGGAGGGGGCAGAATTGGAGCCTAATAAAGGAATTTATCCCTCTTCAGTGTAGGAAGTCCTTCTAAGGTTGGCCCAAGAGGGCTTTAGAATTGCTACAGACCCTGACTTCCAAATGGCAGCATTTAGGGCACGTATCCTACCCTGATCCACTACTGTATGATATATTGAGGGCTGATAACTTGTCTTTTTAGCTTGTTGGACTTGGAGCAAAAGGCGTGCCATCCAGACGTTATGTAGACATAATGGGGTGTCAGCCCACGATGCAGAGAATACCACACATCTCCTAGGGGAGCTAGAATTTAAGTTTAATACTGAAGAGGAGACTTTTGGGTTGTCTCCCTCGGGAAGAGTGTATTTTAAGTGCAGGTGGGAGAGGGAACCAAATATTTGGTGACTAGAAAGGTGGACTGTGATGTCATCAGTGATTTTCAACAAATACTCTGGTTCTCCCTGCTTCCTGCCACATGTTGGGATCACAGTTCTCAGGTACATTGTATAAGACCATACGACTTATCTCATTGCCAATGAAATGCAAGCAGAAGATATGCGTGTATTTTGCAAGAGAAATTTTAAGAACCAGTGCACAATTCACCTCATTCTCTTCCTTTTTCTAAAGTGGTAAGCATGAGCTGAGATGGAGCTTCAGTAAGCCTGGGTCCACCCTATTGTCACACATTGGATATATCACATGAAGGAGAAAGAAACCTTAATTGTGTTAAGCCACTGAGATTTGGAGTGTTTTGTTACACAGCATAACTTATACTGTCTGATATACATAGTAAGATCAAATGCCTCAGGTAAGCAAAGTGCATGCTGCCAGGTGTACCTTATATTATTAACTAGATATCAATAACTAAACTGCCTCCAATACAGGTTATTTATTTTCTTTTATTTCATTCCATCACAAAGTCATCTAAGCTTTCCTCTAAGCAGAACCAGTGGAAGAAGTGTATCCATACTCGTTAAACTACTCACATACATACGTAAAAAGACTCATCGACGTTTGATGCATTAATCTTTGATACATTGTGCTGCCATATGACTGTGACTTCAGGTAGTCCAGGAATGCTCTTCTCCACTTGCACCAATGCCTATAGAATTCATTTGCACATTAAAATTTTGAAAGTGGAGACAAGGCATGAAGTATCGATTTAACTATTTATCATTTAGTTTTGGAGATTAATTCACTCTTTCATTTAATAAATATTTATTGAGCATATAATATAGGCTGCTCCAGAGATATTTCTAAATATGAATCTCTTATTGTCAGCCTCCTTTTAAAAACCCTTTTGATGATTTTCCAAGTACTGCAGCAAGATGTATTTTATTACTAGTGCAGGATTTTGCAGCCTGGAATCCAATTATAAAAGTATATGCAAAATGTAGTGTATTTGGATTGTTCTGGGAAGAAGATATATAGCACATCAGATTGTCAGCTCAGACACCTCTGCGGGCTGCCTCTCCAGACACTCTTGTTGAGTTAGCTAACCCTCTTTCACATTCCCTGGGAACCCTATGCTTCTCTCTACTGCAGCTTCTATCACACTGTATGGTAGTTGATGGCCCACTTATCTGTTAGCCTCACCAGAGTGTGAGTTCTTTAATTTTAAATTTTTGTGGGTACATAGTAGGTATATATATTCATGAGGTATATGGGATATTTTGATACAGGCACATGCAATGTGTAATAATCACCTCAGGGTAAATGGGGTATCTGTTACCTCAAGCATTTATCCTTTGTGTTATAAACAATCCAGTTATATTATTTTAGTTACTTTAAAATGTACAGTTAAATAATTATTGACTACAGTCATCCTGTTGTGCTATCAAATACTAGATATTATTCATTCTTTCTAACAATTTTTGTACCCGTTAACCATCCGCAATTCCCCCCACCACCCCCCTACCCTTCCCAGCTTCTGGTAGCCATCATTCTACTCTGTATTTCCATGAGTTATACTGTTTTAATTTTTTAGCTCCCACAAATAAGTGAGAACATTTGGTATTCTTCTTTCTGTGCCTTGCTTATTTCACTCAACATAATGACCTCCAGTTCCATCCATGTTGTCGCAAATGACAGGATCTCCTTCTTCTTCATGACTGAATAGTACTCCCTTGTGTATATATATCATGTTTTCTTTATCCATTCATTTGTTGATGGACACTTAGGTTGCTTCCAAATCTTGGCTATTGTGAATAGTGCTACAATAAACATGGGAGTGCAGATATCTCTTCAATATACCGATTTCCTTTCTTTTGGGTATGTACCTAGCAGTGGGATTGCTGGATCATATGGTAGCTCTATTTTTAGTTTTTAAAGAACCTCTACACTGTTCTCCATAATGGTTATACTAATTTACATTCCCACCAATGGCATACAAGGGTTCCCTTTTATCCACATCCTCACCAGCTTTCACAGTTGCTTGTCTTTTGGATAAACCATTGTAACTGGGGTGAGATAATATTTCATTGTAGTTTTGACTTGCATTTCTTTGATAATGAATGATGTTGAGCGCCTTTTATATGTGTTTACCATTTATGTATCTTCTTTTGAAAAATGTCTATTCAGGGCCGGGTGCAGTGGCTCATGCCTGTATTCCCAGCACTTTGGGAGGCTGAGACGGATGGATCACCTGAGGTCAGGAGTTCGAGACCAGTCTGGCCAACATGGTGAAACCCTGTATCTACTAAAAATACAAAAATTTAGCTGGATGTGGTGGTGCATGCCTGTAATCCCAGCTGCTTGGGAGGCTGACACTGGAGAATTGCTTGAACCTGGGAGGCAGAGGTTGTAGTCAGCTGAGATCACGCCATTGTACTCCAGCCTGGGCAACAAGAGCAAAACTCTGTCTCCAAGAAAAGAAAAAAGTCTATTCAGATATTTTGCCCATTTTAAAATAAGATTATTAAATGTTTCCATTTTCCTACAGAATTGTTTGAATTCCTCATATATTCTGGTTATTAATCCCTTGTCAGATGAATAGCTTGCAAATATTTTCTCCCATTCTGTGGGCTGTCTCTTCACTTTGTGGATTGCTTCCTTTGCTGTGCCGAAGCTTTTCAGCTTGGCGTGATCCTATTTGTCCATTTTTGCTTGGCTGTGGGGTATCACTCAAGAAATCTTTACCCACTGTTAATGTCCTGGAGAGTTTCTCCAATGTTTTCTTTTAGTAGTTTAATAGTTTGAGGTCTTGGATTTAAGTCTTTAATCCATTTTGATTTGATTTTTGTATATAGCAAGAGATAGGAATTGTTTCATTCTTCTGCATATGAATATCCAGTTTTCCCAACACCATTTATTGAAAAGACTGTCTTTCCCCCAGTGTATGTTCTCAGCACCTTTGTTGAAAATGAGTTCATTGTAGATGTATGGATTTGTTTCTGGATTCTGGATTCTGTTCCATTGCTCTATGTATCTGTTTTTATGCCAGTTTCATGCTGTTTGGGTAACTATAGCTCTGTAGTACAATTTGAAGTCAGGTAATGTGATTCCTCCAGTTTTATTCTTTTTGCTCACAATAACTTTGGTTTTCTGCTCTTTTGTGATTCCGTGTATCTATTAGGACTATTTTTTCTATTTCTGTGAACAATGTCATTGGTAGGTTGATTAAGATTGCATTGAATCTGTAAATTGCTTTGGGTAGTATGAACATTTTAACAATATTGATTCTTCCAATCCATGAGCATGAAGTATTTTTTAAATTTTTTTTGTATCCTCTTCAATGATTTCACCATTGTTTTATAGTTTTCCTTGTAGAGATCTTTCACTTCTTTCCGTAATTCCTAGGTATTCCATTTTATTTGTAGCTATTATAAATGTGATAACTTTCTTAATTTCTTTGTCAGATTGCTCTCTATTGGCATATAGAAACGCTACTGATTTTCATATGTTAATTTTGTATCCTGCAATTTCAGTGAATTTCTTTGTCAGTTCTAATCGTTTTTTTGGTGGAGTTTTTATGCTTTTCCAAATATAAAATCATATCATCTGCAAACAAGGATAATTTGATTTCTTCCTTTCCAATTTAGATGCCCTTTCTTTCTCTTGTCTAATGGCTCCAGCTAGGACTTCCAGTACTATGTTGAACAACAGTAGTGAAGATGGCCATTCTTGTCATGATCCAGATCCTAGAGGAAAGTCTTTCAGTTTTTCCAATTCAGTATGATACTACCTGTAGGTGTGTGGTATATGGCTTTTATTATGTTGAAGTATGTTCCTTTTATACCCAGTTTTTTAAAGGGTTTTTACATGAAGGGATATTCAACTTCATCAAATGCTTTTTTGGCATCAGTTGAAATGATCATACGGTTTTTGTTATTCATTCTGTTGACAGGATGTATCATATTGATTGATTTGGATATGTTGAACCATTCTTGTAACTATGGAATAAATCTCACTTAGTCATGATGAATAATCTTTTTAAGTATTGTTGAATTCTGTTTGCTAGTATTTTGTTGAGGATTTATGCATCAATATTCATCAGAGATATTGGCTTGTAGTTTTCTTTTTTTGATATATCTTGGTCTGGTTTTGGTATCAGGGTAATACTGGCCTCATAGAATAAGTTTGGCTATATTACCTCCCCCACCATTTTTTAGAATAGTTTTAGTAGGATTAGTATTAGTTTTTCTTTAAATGTTTGATAAAATTCAGCAGTGGAGCCATTGGGTCCCGGGCTTTGCTTTGCTGGGACACTTTTTACTGCAACTTTCATCTTGTTACTTGTTATTGATCTGTTTGGGTTTTTGATTTCTTTGTGGCTCAATCTTGCTTAAAAATTTATCTATTTCTGGCCAGGCGTGGTGACTCACTCCTGTAATCCCAGCACTTTGGGAGGCCGAGGCAGGCATATCATCTGAGGTCAGGAGTTTGAGACCAGCCTGGCTGACATGATGAAACCCCATCTCTACTAAAAATACAAAAAAAAATTAGCCAGGCGTGGTGGTGGTTGCCTGTAATCCCAGCTACTCCAGAGGCTGAAGCAGGAGAATCGCTTGAACCCAGGAGGTGGAGGTTGCAGTGAGCCAAGATCACGCCACTGCACTCTAGCCTGGGCGACAAGAGCAAGACTCCATTAAAAAAAAAAATCATTTCTTCTAGGTTTTCCATCTTATTGGCATATAATTGCTCATAGTAGCCTCTAATGATCCTTTGAATTTCTGCAATATCAGTTGTAATGTTTCCTTTTTCATCGCTGATTTTATTTATTTGGGTCTTCTCTCTCTTTTTCTTAGTCTGGCCAAAGTTTGTCAGTTCTGTTTATGTCTTCAAAAAAAAAAACTTTTTGTTTTATTGATCTTTTGTATCATTCTTTTCAAATTAGTTATTTCTGCTCTGATTTTTATTATTTCTTTTCTGCTACCAACTTTGGATTTGATTTGCTCTTGCTCTTCTAGTTCTTTTTTTTTTTTTTTTTTTTTTCTGAGACTGAGTCTTGCTCTGAGGCCCAGGCTGGAGTGCAGTGGTGCAATTTCGGCTCACTGCAACCTCTGCCTCCCGAGTTCAAGAGATTCTCGTTCCTCAGCCTCCTGAGTAGCTAGGATTACAGGTGTGCACCACCACACCTGGCTAATTTTTTTGTATTTTTAGTAGAGACAGGGTTTCACCATGTTGGCCAGGGCTGGTCTTGAACTCCTGACCTCATGTTAACCACCCACCTTGGCCTCCCAAAGTGCTGGGAGTACAGGCATGAGCCACCACTCCAGGTCCACTCTTCTAGTTATTTAAAATGGATCGTTAGTTTATTTATTTCCAGTTTTTTTCTTCTTTTTTGATGTAGGCACTTATAGTTAAAAACTTCCCTCTTAGTACTAATTTTGCTGTATTCCACAGATTTTGGTATGTTGTGTTTCCAGTGTCATTTGTTTCAAGAAATATTAATTTTTAAAATTAATTTCTTCATTGACCCACTGTTCATTCAAGAGTATATTGTTTAATTTCCATGTGTTTGTATAGTTTCCAAAATTCCTCTTGTTATTGAGTCTTAGTTTTATTCCACTGTGGTTAGAGAAGATATTTGATATTATTTCAATTTTTTGAACTTTTTAAGAATCTTCTGTGACCAAACATATGGTGTATCATTTAGAATGATCCATATGCTGAGGAGAAGAATGTGTATTCTGCAGCTATTGGATGAAATGTCTGTGAATATGGATTAGGTCCATTTGGTGTATAGTTCAGATTAAGTCTGATGTTTCTTTATTAATTTCCTGTCTGTAAGATCTGTCCAGTGCTGAAAGGGGGTTATTGATGTCTCCAGCTATTCCTGTATTGGGGTCTATCTCTCTCTAATAATATTTGGTTCATATATCTGAGTGCTCCAGTATTGGGTGTATATGTATTTACAGTTGTACACCCTCTTGCTGAATTGACCCCTTTGTCATTGTATAATGATCATCTTTGTCTGTTTTTATAGTTTTTGTCTTAAAATCTGTTTTGTTTTATGTAAGTATAGCTACTTCTGTATTTTTTTGGTTTCCATTTGCATGGAATATCTTTTTCCATCCCTTTATTTTCATGTGTGTCTTTTGTGTATTTTATTTTTATTTTTTTATTTGTTATTTCCATAGGTTTTGGGGGGAATGAGTGGTATTTGGTTATATGAATAAATTCTTCAGTGGTGATTTGTGAGATTTTGGTGCACCCATCACTCGAGCAGTATACCGTGAACCCAATTTGTAGTCTTTTGTCTCTCACCCCCTTCCCCCCTTCCCCTAACCAGTCCCCAAAGTCCATTGTATCATTCTTATGCCTTTGCATCATCATATATTGGCTCCCACATGTGAAGTGAGAACATACGATGTTTGTTTTTCCATTTCTGAGTTGCTTCACTTAGAATAATAGTCTCCATTCCCATCCAGGTTACTGCAAATGCCATTGATTCATTCCCTTTTATGGCTGAGTAGTATTCCATTATATATATATATATGGTGTGTATGCATATATACATATATATATGGTGTGTATATATCTATACCATAGTTTAGTTATTCACTCATTGATTGATGGGCATTTGCACTGGTTCCATATTTTTGCAGTTGTGAACTGTGCTGCTATAAACATGTGTGTGCAAGTATCTTTTTCGTATAATGACTTCTTTTCCTCTGGGTAGAATACCCAATAATGGGATTACTGGATCAAATGGTAATTCTGTTTTTAGTTCTTTAAGGAATCTCCACACTCTTTCCCATAGTTGTTGTACTAGTTTACATTTCCACCAGCAGTGTAGAAATGTTCCCTTTTCACCACATCCATTCCAACATCTATTATTTTTTGATTTTTTGATTATTGCTATTCTTGTGGGATTAAGGTGGTATCACTTTGTGATTTTGATTTGCATTTCCTTAATCATTAGTGATGTGGAGCATTTTTTCATATGTTTGTTGGCCATTTGTATATCTTCTTTTGAGAATTGTTTATTCGCGTCTTAGCCCACTTTTTGATGGGATTTTGTTTTTTTCTTACTGATTTGTTTGACTTCCTTGTAGATTCTGGATATTAGTCTTTTGTCAGATGTATAGATTGTGAAGATTTCCTCCCGCTCTGTGAGTTGTCTGTTTACTCTGCTGACTGTTCCTTTTGCTGTGCAAAAGCTCTTTAGTTTAATTAAGTCCCACCTATTTATCTTTGCTTTTGTTTTGTTTTGTTCTGTTTTGTTTGCATTTGTTTTTTTGGTCATGAAATCTTTGCCTAAGCCAATGTCTAGAAGGGTTTTTCCAATGTTATCTTCAATAATTTTTATAGTCTCAGGTCTTAGATTTAAGTCCTTGATCCATCTTGAGTTGATTTTTGTTTAAGGTGAGAGATGAGGATCCAGTTTTATTCTCCTACGTGTGGCTTGCCAATTATCCCAGCATCATGTGTTGAATAGGGTGTCCTTTCCCCACTTTACATTTTTGTTTGCTTTGTCAAGGATCAGTTGGCTGTAAGTATTTGGCTTTATTTCTGGGTTCTCTATTCTGTTCCATTGGTCTAGGTGCTTATTTTTATACCAGTACCATACTGTTTTGGTGACTGTGGTCTTATAGTATAGTTTGAAATCTGGTAATGTGATGCCTCCAGATTTCCTCTTTTTGCTTAATCTTGCTTTGGCTATGTGGGCTGTTTTTTGGTTTCATATGGATTTTAGAATTGTTTTTTCTAGTTCTGTGAAGAATGATGGTTGTATTTTGATGGGAATTGCATTGAATTTGTAGATTGTTTTTTTATTTTTGTGCATCTCTTGTATGTTTTTATATTTGAGATTACCATGAGGCTTACAAATAATATATATAACCCATTATTTTAAACCGATGAAAACTTAACATTGATTGCATAAACAAAGAAACTAACAAGCAAGCAAAAGGAAAACTAATAAAAACTCTCTCCTTCAACTTTGTCTTACCACCTTTTAACTCTTTGTCTTTTCTATTTATATCTTACTGTACTAGGTCTTAAAAAGTTATAGTTATTATTGTGATCAGTTCTTCTTTTTGTCTTTCTACTTAAGATATGAGTAGTTTATATACTACAATTACAGTGTTTTAGTAGTCTGTGTTTTTCTCTATACTTACTATTACCAGTGAGTTTTGTATCTTCAGATGATTTCTTACTGGTCATTAATGTCCTTTTCTTTCAGATTGAAGTACTTGCTTTAGCATTTCTTGTAGGACAGGTCTGGTGTTGATAAAATCTCTCAGCTTTTGTTTGGGAAAGGCTTTATTTCTCTTTCTTGTTTGAAGGATGTTTTTGCTGGCTATTCTTTTGTAGGATAAAAGTTTTTTCCTCCTTCAGTACTTTCAATATGTCCTGCCACTCTCTCCTGGCCTGTAAGTGTTCTACTGAAAAGTCTGCTGCCAGATGTATTGGAGCTCCATTGCATGCTATATATTTCCTTTCTGTTGATGCTTTTAGGATCCTTTCTTTGTCCGTGACTTTTGGGAGTTGAATTATTAAATGCGTTGACGTAGTTTTCCTTGGGTTAAAGATCCTTGGTGTTCTATAACCTTCTTGTACTCGGATATTGATATCTTTCTCTAGGCTTGGGAATACCTCTGTTCTTTTCCCTTTGAATAAATTTTCTGCCTTTATCTATCAACCTCCTCAGTAAGGCCAATAACTATTAGATTTGCCCTTTTGAGGCTAGTTTCTAGATCTTGTAAATGTGCTTTATTCTTTTTTCTTTTTTCTCTTCTGACTTTGTATTTTCAAATAGGCTGTCTTCAAGCTAACTAATTCTTTCTTCTGCTTGATCAATCCTGCAATTAAGAGACTCTGGTGTATTCTTGAGTATGTCAGTTGCATTTTTCAACTCCAGAGTTTCTTCTTGATTTTAAAAACTTATTCTATTTCTTTATTAAATTTATTTGATAAGATTATGAATTCCTTCTCTGCATTATCTTGAATTTCTTTGAGTGTCCTCAAAGTAGCTACTATGAATTCTCTGTCTGAAAGGTCATGTATATCTGTCTCTCTGGTATTGCCCCTGGGTGCCTTATTTAGTTTGCTTGGTGAGGTCATGTTTTTCGGGATGGTCTTGGTGCTTATGGATGTTTGTCAGTGTCTGGGCATTGAAGAGTTGTGTATTTATTGTAGTCTTTTCATTCTGGACTTGTCTGTACCCGTCCTTCTTGGGAAGGCTTTCCAGATATTTGAAGCGAATTGGGCACTGTGATCTAAGTTTTTGGTCACTGCAGCCATATCTGCATTAGGGGGCACTCCAAGCCCAGTAATGCTATAATTCTTGTAGCCTAGTAGAGGTACTGCGTAGTGGTCTTGGATAAGATCTGCAATGATTATCTGGATTACCAGGCAGAGACTCTTGTTCTCTTCCCTTGCTTTCTCCCAGAGTCTCCCTCTGTCTATGCTGAGCTGCCTGGAACTAGGAGTGGTTGTAGTAACACAAGCACCCCTGTGGCCTCTACTACTGGGACTGTGCTGAGTCAGAACTGAAGCCAGCACAGTGCTGGATCTTGCCCAAGGCCCACTGTAATCACAACCTGACTACCACCTATATTTGCTCAAGGCCCCAAGGCTCTACAATCAGTAGGTGGTGAAGCCAACAAGTCTTATGTCCTTCTCTGCAGTGCAGCAAGTTCCCCCTGGGCCCTGGGTGGGTCCAGAGATGTTGTCCAGGAGCCAGAACCTACAGTCAAAAACCTTAGAAATCTACCTGATGCTCTATTCTACTGTGGCTAAGCTGGCACTGAAACTACAAGACAAGGTCCCTTCCACTCTTTTCTCCCCTTTCCCCAAGCAGAGGAGTCTCTCCCTGTGTCCACCAGCACCACCACAAGCCCAAGGGAGTACTGCCATGGTGCCACCAATGTTTACTTAAGGCCCATGTGGTCTTTAGTCCGCTCTTATAATAAATGCTGCCAGGCCTGTGACTCACCCTTCAGGGCAGTAGTCTCCCCTCTGGCACAGTGTAGGTCCAAAAATGTGATTCAAGAGCCAACACCTGAAACTGGGGACCCCAGCACCCCAGTTGGTGCTTTTCTCCACTCTGGCCTATCTGGTACCTAAGATGCAAGACAAAGTCCCCTTTATCGTTTCTCTGCTTTTCTCAAACATAAAGTATCTCTTCTTGTAGCCACAACAGCTGTGAGTGTGCTGTATCACACCTGAAGCCAGTACATCTCAGAGTCTCACCCATGGGCCACAGTGAGTACTACCTGGTTACCACTGCTGATTATTCAGAGGCCAATGGCTCACAGTCAGCAGGTGATGAATTCTTCCAGACTCAGTCTTTCCCTTCAAGGCAGCAGGCTCTCTTCCGGCCCAGTGTGTGTCTAGAAATGACATCCAGGAGCTAGGGCTGTAATGGGGCCTCACAACTCTGCCTGGTGCCCTACCCTACTATGGCTGAGTTGGCATCCAAGTTGCAAACATGAAACACAGGCCTTTTCTTTAACTTTACCAACCATCACCAGCATAAAGCAATTAAAATGACCTAAAAAGAAACAAGCAGTAGGTTTCTTGCAGAACAACAAACAACATAAAATTCAGCATTAACCAGAATATCTCTGACAGAATACATTAAAAACTGCCAATAGCAGTTGCCTCTGGAGAACGGAACTAGAGGTTGGGGGATTATGAGTAAAAGGTGGGCTTTTAATTTATACATGAGCTTATATTGCTTTTCTCAAGGAAACAAAATACAATTTTAAAAATTGTTTTAAAAGTATTACTGAAGTTTGTTCTTCTTAAAAGTTGCTTGACCAATCATACTCTGAAACATTTCCTCTGGCTACCTCTTGTAGTATCACTTATAATAAGTATCTCAGCTTCCTGCTGTGTAGCTGGGCCCTCTCCTTCCATCCTACTACTTCTGCCCTCAACTGTCATTTTTTTTTTTTCTTTTTGAGATGGAGTCTCACTCTGTTGCCCAGACTGAAGTGCAGTGGCATGATCTCGGCTCACTGCAGCCTCTGCCTCCCTGGTTCCAGCAAGTCTCCTGCCTCAGCCTCCAGAGTAGCTGAGATTAGAGGCACATGCCACCACACCCGGCTAATTTTTGTATTTTTAGTAGAGATGGGGTTTCACCATGTTGGCCAGGCTGGTTTTGAACTCCTGACCTCAGGTGATCAGCCTGCCTCAGCCTCCCAAAGTGCTGGGATTACAGGCTGGAGCCACTGCTCCTGGCCTCCTCAACTCTTTATTCTCTACAATCCCCACCTCTTTTTTGATTCTTCCTTAATTTTATCCTCTTCTCCAGCTTTCCAAACCATGCCCAATAGGGGGTAAAAAAGGAAGCTTTATCTTTCATGTCCAAAGAGGTCATCCATCTTCTCCATGAATTATGCCATCAAATTTAGGAAGGTTCAGTTAGTTCTTATTTTAAATCATACCTCCTAGGATGTCCATAATTAAAAAAAAAGACAAGTGCTGGCAAGGAGGTGGAAAAATTGGAATCCTTGTGCCTTGCTGGTAGTAATGCAAAATGATGCAGCGGCTATGGAAAATAGTTCAGCAGTTTCTCAAAAGGGTAAACACAGAATTACTATATGACCCGGCAATTCCACTCCTAGGTGTATATCCCAAAAATTGATAGCAGGGACTCAAACGGATATTTGTATACCAATGTTCATAACAGCATTGTTTATAATAAAGTGGAAACAGTTCAGTGTCCATCAACAGACGAATGGACAAATTATAACTTATACATACAACGGAATATTATTCAACCATATAAAGGAATGGAATTTTGAAACATGTTACCACATGGATGGACCTGGAAAACACTGCTTAGTGAAATAAGTCGGACACAGAAGGACAAATATTACATGATCCCATTTATAAAAGGTACCTAGAAGAGACAAATTTATAGAGACAGAAAGCAGAATAGAGGTTATCAGGGCTGAGGGGAAGGGGGTAAGAGGAGTTACTCTTTAATGAGTACAGAGTTTTTGTTGAGGATGATGAAAAACTTTTGAATATGGATAGTGGTGATAGTTACATGACGTTATGAATGTATTTAATGCCACTGAACTATATTTTTAGGAATGATTAGAAAATGATAAATATTATGTGAGATATATTTTACCACAATACTCCCTTCCCCCAAAATACCATGTTTTTTCTAATTGCTATGTATTATTTCCCCTATGCAGAGTTTTATTTTCTTATTTTTTATGCATTTTTTTCTAAATATTGTATGTCATAAATTAAATGGATAATTACATTTAAAATCTTAAAATAGGCCGGGTATGGTGGCTTACACCTGTAATCCCAGCACTCTGAGAGGCCAAGGCGGAAGGGTCACTCCAATCATGATTTCGAGACCAGACTGACCGACATGGCAAAACCCCTCTCTACTAAAAATACAAAAAAAAATTTTTTAAATTATACTTTAAGTTCTAGGGTACATGTACACAACGTGCAGGTTTGTTACATATGTATACATCTGCCATGTTGGTGTGCTGCACCCATTACCTCATCATTTACACTAGGTATATCTCCTAATGCTTTCCCTCCCCCCCTTCCCCACACAACAGGCCCTGGTGTGTGATGTTCCCCTTCCTGTGTCCAAGTGTTGTCATTGTTCATTTCCCACCTATGAGTGAGAACATGTGGTGTTTGGCTTTTTGTCCTTGTGACAGTTTGCTGAGAATGATGGTTTCCAGCTTCATCCATGTCCCTACAAAGGACATGAACTCATCCTTTTTTATGGCTGCCTAGTATTCCATGGTGTATATGTGCCACATTTTCTTAAGCCAGTCTATCATTGTTGGACATTTGGGTTGGTTCCAAGTCTTTGCTATTGTGAATAGTGCTGCAATAAACATATGTGTGCATGTGTCTTTATAGCAGCATGATTTACATTCCTTTGGGTATATACCCAGTAATGGGATGGCTGAGTCAAATGATATTTCTAGTTCTAGATCCTTGAGGAATCTCCACACTGTCTTCCACAATGGTTGAACTAGTTTACAGTCCCACCAACAGTGAGAAAGTGTTCCTATTTCTCCACATCCTCTCCAGCACCTGTTGTTTCCTGACCTTTTAATGGTCACCATTCTAACTGGTGTGAGATGGTATCTCATCGTGGTTTTGATTTGCATTTCTCTGATGGCCAGTGATGATGAGCATTTTTTCATGTGTCTGTTGGCTGCATAAATGTCTTCTTTTGAGAAGTGTCTGTTCATATAATTCACCCACTTTTTGATGGGGTTGTTTGTTTTTTCTTGTAAATTAGTTTGAGTTCTTTGTAGATTCTGGATATTAGCTCTTTGTCAGATGAGTAGATTGCAAAATTTTTCTCCCATTCTGTAGGTTGCCTATTCACTCTGATGGTAGTTTCTTTTGCTGTGCAGAAGCTCTTTAGTTGAATTAGTTCCCATTTGTCAATTTTGTCTTTTGTTGCCATTGCTTTTGTTGTTTTAGACATGAAGTCCTTGTCCATGCCTATGTCCTGAATGGTATTGCCTAGGTTTTCTTCTAGGGATTTTATGGTTTTAGGTCTAACATTTAAGTCTTTAATCCATGTTGAATTAATTTTTGTATAAGGCATAAGGAAGGGATCCAGTTTCAGCTTTCTACATATGGCTAGCCAGTTTTCCCAGCACCATTTATTAAATGGAAATCCTTTCCCCATTTCTTGCTTTTGTCAGGTTTGTCAAAGATCAGATGGTTGTAGATGTGTGGTATTATTTCTGAGGGCTCTATTCTGTTCCATTGGTCTATATCTCTGTTTTGGTACCAGTACCATGTTGTTTTGGTTACTGTAGCCCTGTAGCATAGTTTGAAGTCAGATAGCATGATGCATCCAGCTTTGTCCTTTTTGCTTAGGATTGTCTTGGCAATGCAGGCTCTTTTTTGGTTCCATATGAACTTTAAAGTAGTTTTTTCCAATTCTGTGAAAAAAGTCATTGGTAGCTTGTTGGGGATGGCATTGAATTTATAAATTACCTTGGGCAGTATGGCCATTTTCATATTGATTCTTTCTATCCATGAGCATGGAATGTTCTTCCATTTGTTTGTAACCTCTTTTATTTCACTGAGCAGTGGTTGTAGTTCTCCTTGAAGAGGTCCTTCACATCCCTTGTAAGTTGGATTCCTAGGTATTTTATTCTCTTTGAAGCAATTGTGAATGGGAGTTCACTCATGATTTGGCTCTCTGTTTATCTGTTATTGGTATATAAGAATGCTTGTGACTTTTGCACATTGATTTTGTATCCTGAGACTTTGCTGAAGTTGCTTATCAACTTAAGGAGATTTTGGGTTGAGACAATGGGGTTTTCTAAGTATACAATCATGTTGTCTGCAAACAGGGACAGTTTGACTTCCTCTTTTCCTAATTGAATACCATTTATTTCTTTCTCCTGCCTGATTGCCCTGGCCAGAACTTCCAACACTATGTTGAATAGGAGTGGTGAGAGAGGGCATCCCTATCTTGTGCCAGTTTTCAAAGGGAATGCTTCCAGTTTTTGCCCATTCAGTATGATATTGGCTGTGTGTTTGTCATAGATAGCTCTTATTATTTTGAGATATGTCCCATCAATACCTAACTTATTGAGAGATTTTACCATGAAGGGCTGTTGAATTTTGTCAAAGGCCTTTTCTGCATCTATTGAGATAATCATGTGGTTTTTGTCTTTGGTTCTGTTTATCGGCTGGATTACATTTAATGATTTGCATATGTTGAACCAGGCTTGCATCCCAGGGATGAAGCCCACTTGAACATGGTGGATAAGCTTTTTGATATGCTGCTGGATTCGGTTTGCCAGTATTTTTTTGAGGATTTTTACATCGATATTCATCTGGGATATTGGTCTAAAATTCTTTTTTTGTTGTGTCTCTGCCAGGCTTTGGTATCAGGATGATGCTGGCCTCATAAAATGAGTTAGGGAGGATTCCCTCTTTTTCTATTGATTGGAATAGTTTCAGAAGGAATGGTACCAGCTCCTCCTTGTACCTCTGGTTGAATTTGGCTGTGAATCCATCTGGTCCTGGCCTTTTTTTGGTTGGTAGGCTATTAATTATTGCCTCAATTTCAGAGCCTGTTATTGGTCTATTCAGGGATTCAACTTCTTCCTGGTTTAGTCTTTGGAGGGTGCATGTGTTGAGGAATTTATCCATTTCTTCTAGATTTTCTAGTTTATTTGCATAGAGGTGTTTATAGTATTCTCTGATGGTAATTTGTATTTCTGTGGGATCGGTGGTGATATCCCCTTTATCATTTTTTATTGCATCTATTTGATTCTTCTCTCTTTTCTTCTTTATTAGTCTTGCTAATGGTCTATCAATCTTGTTGATCTTTTCAAAAAACCAGCTCCTGGATTCTTTGATTTTTTGAAGGGTTTTTTGTGTCTCTATCTCTTTCAGTTCTTCTCTGATCTTAGTTATTTCTTGCCTGCTTCCCCTATGCAGAGTTTTAAATTTAGGTCTAGGAAAGTAATATTCTCAAGGCCGCACATCTAGGAATGCATTGCAATTTAAATCCAGGTGTGGATTCAAGCCTACTCTCTGAATCCTATACTACACTAAATCATTATTCCATCATTTACTGTACTGCTTTATGATAGCACTTCTAAATTTAAGTTATAGTTAACTATTTTTCCCCTACCTTGATTGTGAACTTCTTAAAGGACAAAAAAAGCCTTCTCTATTTTTGGGTGCTTAATGTTTATCTCAGGGTCTGACACGTACAGCCATCTGAAAGTATTGCTAAGGGTTGGGGTAAGACTCAGCTGAAGGCTTGGTCTGAAATGGGGCTGTAATGGTTTCCATCTAGTAACTCAGCAAACATTCATGTGGCCGCTATTCCTGGCACTGTTAGGTGCTGGGGTACAGGAAAAAAGAGCACACAGTCTCTGACCTAGCTTCAGTCTAGTGGGTTAGGTGGACAGGGATAGTCTCCCACTAGCTTTAGTCTAGTGGGTCGGGTGGACAGGAAGACAAAGTCAAACATGTGCTTGGCTAGAGCACAGGAAACCCTGGGAGCCCACGAGGAAAAACACAGGCAGGATGTTAGGGGAGGCTTTTTGCAGGAGGTGGTGCTTGATTTGTGTGTTGATTAAAAATGGGTATTACCCAGCAGAAGAGCAGGAAACAGCATTCCAGGCAGAAGACAAAGCATGTACAAAGGCATATACAAAGGCATGGAGGTGTAAGAGGATGGTGTGTCCAGAGATCTGCAAACAATTCTTTGTGATTGGGACATGAAGTAAGAGGTGATAAAATGCTATGATGCAGAGCTGGGGAGGAGGGAAGAGTCCTGGTCATGAGTGCTGTGAAGATTTGAAAGTTTATACTGAGAGATACAGGAAGCCACTTTAAGATTTTAATAGAACTGACATGATCACATGTGTTCCATGGAAAAAATCAGCCTGACTGCCATAAGGGAAATGAATTGGAAGGGGGCAAGGCTGGAAGTCAAGAGTAGATTGTAGAAATGCCAGTGGCCTGAAACTAACTGAACAGGGTTGCAAGCCAAGGGCTACAGGAAGGGTCCTGTCTACAGATGCCAGAAATGGAAACAGCCTCAGAGGTCAAAGACAAGGTCTAGGAGTAAGGCTGACTAGGAAGGCAGAAGTGGATGCCAGTATGGAGTATGGATTTCAAGATTAGGTCCTTGGAGGGGCTGCAGAGCCTTTAGCATCTTAGAGGAAACCTCAAAGCAGTAAGGCATATCTCCTCGTCACAATGGACAGGACTAGAAGGAGCCAGCTATTTGGGTCTGTGATCTTTTCTTTCTTTCTTTCTTTCTTTTTTTGAGGTGGAATCTTGCTCTGTCGCCCAGGCTGGAGTGCAGTGGTACGATCTCGGCTCACTGCAACCTCCGCCTCTCCAGGTTTAAGCAATTCTCTGCCTCAGCCTCTGGAGTAGCTGGGATTATGGGCACGTGCCACCATGCCTGGCTAATGTTTTGTATTTTTAGTAGAGACGGGTTTTCACCATCTTGGCCAGGCTGGTCTTGAACTCCTGACCTTGTGATCCACCTGCCTCGGCCTCCCAAAGTGCTGGGATTACAGGCGTGAGCCACCATGCCCGGCCGGGTCTGTGATCTTTTCTAATATATTTCTCTGTCCCTAGACTTCTGAACCTATTCTTTATCTATTGTAATCTTTTTCTTCTCTCATTGAACTACTTTGAGATTTTGAGTGATCATTGATTCAATAATTATTCAGCATGCTAGATGAACCTGTCACTTTGATAAAACCTTTGGGACTCAGGCCAATAATTAGTATTGGGATTGGAAATCACCTATCTGACTCATAGCCCACATTGGGGAAGCTGATGGGTTCAGGGCACTGTGGAATTATGTAGGCACCTCATTATATCAAGCAAGCTAGAGAAAGGGTCAATAGAGGAAACCAAAATTTATTAATACATATCAGGTCAAACCATATAAAATTTCATTTGATAGGTCAAAAAATGACAGAAAATTGGAAATTTCTTATGATTCAGGCTGAATAAAAGTCACTTTTTTGTGGACTTCAAAAATACATAATTGGAGTAATCAGTCTGCTTCACAGCACTCTCATGATTGGTCCACATGGGTCCTCTTTTGTGTGTCTATTTTTCTCCATCTTTCCCCTAGGAACACCAACAAACTACAACATTGACAGTAACTTGCATCTGCCTACGTGCTCTCCCACCATACCCTTTCTCTCCCTCTCCAAACTAACCACTATCTTGAATGCTGTGTACATCATTCCTTTGCTTTTTTCTGTAATTGTTGTATCAAATATATAAGTATACTAATAAAGATATCATTTCATTTTAGTTGTTTTGAAATTTACAAAAGGATATAATACTAGACGTTTGTGTTATTGTGGGACTTGATTTTTTTAAAAATTTTGTTTATTACAAAAATGAACTGTAGTTCACTCATTTTCAGTGCTGTATAATATTCCATTGTGTGGTATACACAGTTAAAGCTACTTTTTGGGTTACTTCATTTAACATCCAAAATAACCCTGAAAATGGCTGTTTAATATTCATACTTACTTTTATTTTTTTGATAATTTCTTATTTTTATTTTTTTAATCTGTAGTCTTTTATTCCTCACTCCCCTCCCACCCTTTCCCCCAAGTGCCCAAAGACCATTGTATCATTCTTATGCCTTTGCATCCTCATAGCTTAGCTCCCACTTATAAGTGAGAACATATGATGTTTGGCTTTCCATTCCTGAGTTACTTCACTTAGAATAATAGTCTCCAATTCCATCCAGGTTGTTGTGAAAGCCGTTATTTTTTTCCTTATTATGACTAATTAGTATTCCATGGTGTGTGTGTGTGTGTGTGTGTATATATCTCCACTCATTGATTGATGGGCATTTGAGCTGGTTCCATATTTTTGCAATTGCAAATTGTAAAGTAAGTGGATTAAGAGCATGAGATAAGGACTAGGGCTTTAGTTTCAGCTGTACTGCTTTCTAGGCAAGTTACTTAACCTGTTAAGGTTGAGTCTCTAACCTAAAAGCTTTAGTTTCTTCTTCAGTAAAATGCAGATTAAAAAAGTACCTGCCTTAGGGGATTAAGGTGATTACCTTCTGTGCAGTACCTGAAGCACTAAATCATGTGAGTTACATTAAATTTTATTACAAAGTGAAGCAACTGAAGCATGAGTAGGTTAAGGAGCTTGCTGGAGATCACACAACTGATAATGGCAAACCAGAGCTTGAATCCATCTCTGCACAACTACAAGATCATTCTCTTTCCCCACGAAGGGGAGAGCTTTCCAGAAATAGTGTGGCATTGTGAAAACTAGTGTGGAGCAATTACTGGCATTGTAGATAATTAACTCCTTTGCCATAAATATTACAGTAAAATCTGTGATAGTTTATTGGGAATTATAGGCTTCCAAGTGTATCATTGTTTACATTTTTTTTTTTTAAAAAAAAGAAAGAATGCTTGTTTAAAATATAATTCACTGTCTCTCCCCCACAAGAATGAAGCAATGCTCTCTTGCTCCATTGCCTTCAATATAGGCCGTAAGTACTAAACATTTCTTTTTGGAGCAGTTTATGAGAGAAGAATGTTTCCAAATTTATGAGGCTCTCATGCATTTTGAGAAGAGATTTTCATATTCCACATATTTCCTTCTTTGGATCTTTCTATTTAGGGATCAGTTTAAAAATACAATTCCTCTATCTGAAGCAGAAGGGTTGTGAACCATGAGTTCCACATCTCTTGAGACTTTCAGTCACTTTAAAGGGAAATACGGAGAAAATGAAAGGAAATAAAAAGAAATACAGTTTATTTTTGGTTTAGAACATACCATGATTCCATGATAAGATATAAACTGGTGACACTGGAAGAAAATTTATCATTTACCAAAACTTAAGGGGCATATTTCCCATTTAGAAAAATAAATAGGTCATGCATGGTGGTTCATGCCTGCAATACCAGCACTTTGGGAGGCTAAGGAGGGCAGATCACTTGAGCCCAGGAGTTCAAGACCAGCCTGGGCAACATGGCAAAAAAAACCCGTCTTTACAAAAAAATACAATAATTAACTGGCTGTGGTGGCATGGGCCTGTGGTTCCAGATACTTGGGAGGCTAGTGTGGGAGGATTGCTTGAGCCTGGGTGGTCCAGGCTGCAGTGAGTTATGACTGTGCCAGTGCACTCCAGCCTGAGCAACAGAGTGAGACTTTGTTTAAAAAAAAGAAGAAAATAAAAATAAATAGTTGCTTGTTGGAATTGTATCCTTAAAATGGGCATCCTTGATATATTATTTGGCTTCTTTCATTGCCTTATTGACCAGATATCTCTCTTTAAAAAATGACTGGTGTGCAATTTTGCTACATTTTCAGGAAGAATATATGATAACTTTGAAAGTTCAAGTTGCACATTTAGGACCCAGGAATAATTCCCCACATCCCTGAGAAACAAATGATTCAGTATTGGTTTATGATTACTTGTCATAAACCATTAAAGATCTTCAGAAATGAATCTAACTGAAGGTCAACACATTCTTCTTTAAGATGTCTTCCCTTTCCTATTTAAAAAGACCATCACTGTTGACTAGGGAACAGGAGGTAGATTACATGACATCTGTGTCTATTTTCCACTTTGACTTCTTCACTTGCCCTGCTTTGGAGATACCTGGAAAAACTTGAGTATCTACTCAGCAACACATCTGCAGTCCAGGACACCTGGCCTCTATGTGAACCTCACGTCAATCTTGAGGTTAATGCGTTATACCGAGCTAAAGATAATCGTGTTGTATAGGGAGGCTAAGGCCACCATCCTGTCAGTAAGGAGAGAAAGAGGCTGTTCTCAGAAAATGGGGACTCAGAAGCTAAACGTCAGGCTGGTAGGAATCTTATCATCATGAGGTCTTGTTCTCTTGAAATAATTTAGAGCCATGTTTTTCAAATCACATTCCATAGAGGCCCAGGTTAAGGCAGCACCTCATGGACCATTATGGGTAAATGGAGGGATGAAGCAGGTGAAAAGCAGTTGGGAGGCTGAGTTCTCAGTCTCTAGATTTCACTCATAACCCTGTTTCAACAAGCAGAGCTCTCTCTTCACCTACTTTTTAGATTAGGATCTACTGTAGATATTTTTAAGGTAATCTGATGAAAAAGTTGAATTTATTTACCAGAGCTCCTTTTAGAAAAAGTACTGTAAGTTGCTAGATAAACAATACTTAGAAAAGTCATTTAGGAAGGGTTGGAGTAGAAGTGAGGTCTTCAAGAGCAGAATGGAAACAAAAATGTATGGCCAGTAAACTCTCATCTCAGGAAGGTAAATTCTGATAACTTCAAAGCTTTTGTTTTTCTGAGAAGAATAGGCAGATTTGAAGGCAGAGTCGAACTACCCAGAAGAAGAGGGGACAGGCCATAGATGGTGTGGGAGGAAGGGCAGACAGAGACAATCTCTAATTCACACCACCAGAGGGACTTGGAAGATCTGTCAAATGGGATTTTATAAAGTTGCATGCAGTAAGGTGTGCAATGTAAAACCCTCCTTTGCTATCTAATCCTCCTGACCCCCAGTATTATTTAATAAAACTTGCACGGTAATGCTTGGAGCTTTTACTGAGGATAGATTCTTTTTGGAGAAGCCAAGAGGCACTGAGGTTTCTAAACTGATGGTGTAGAGAAAAAACAGAAACTACACACATTTCATTTGCTGATTCGCCAGGACTCCCACGGCTCAGTAGCAGGTAATACTCACTGCTAAGATTTATCACAGGAAAGGATACAGAGTAACAGGAAAAATATATGCAACTGTGGAGTCTAGAGAGGTCCAGCACAGGCTTTAATACCTTTCTTATCCAAGATCATACAGGTGTGTTCTTTTTCTAGCAGTGAACTATGAGGAAATGTGTGGATTTTCTCTGCTCAGCGAAGCCCAAATAAGTCTCAGGGATCCATGTTTTTGGAAGGGTAAGGAGGTGGGGTGCTAGTTAACATAGGCATATCCAGCTGTGCAACCATCCTTGGCCACCCAAAATCAGGACCCCAACAATGAAACCAGGTGTACATGATTAACCTTGGTGTTTGTGCAAAGCAAACTGACAAACCAGTTCAGCATGGTCCATTGCTCCAGGTGAATATAATAAAATCATCAGTCATTAACATAAAGAACCTTCTGAGGGCCACATTCCCAGGAGTTAGTCAAGGGTCACTCATGGTTCCCTTGAAGACATAGGAGGGAGCCACCGGACTTGCTGTGTTAACTCTTTCCTCACAATATGTAGAGCAGAACCAAATCTGGCTAGAATTTGAAAAAGGGATTTCACTGCCACAAAATCACTTATGTGGTAGAGGTTAAAGATGGCTTTGCCATCTGGAGGCCGATCACAGGTGAACTAAGAAAGCCTTCCTGTTGTGGGCCTCTGGTTGAAGGTAAGTGAGCGATATTATATCTTTTAAGTCAAAGTGTCTAATTTCATGTCACATGCAGTATTTATCTTGCAAGCGTTTAGTAAATTCTTGCTTAAAAGTTTGAGCCTCACCTCCACTATACTATAAGAAACTATAAGAAATCAAGGGTACCTTTATTCCAACAATTATATTGAGTACCTGTGTACCATTTGCTAGATACTGTTCTGAGTGTTGGGGATAATTTTTTTGTTTGTTTGTTTGTTTTTGAGACGGAGTTTTGTTCTGTCACCCAGGCTGGAGTGCAGTGGTGCGATCTCGGCTCACTGCAAGCTCCACCTGCTAGGTTCATGCCATTCTCTTGCCTCAGCCTCCCGAGTAGCTAGGACTACAGGTGCCCGCCACCACGCCCGGCTAATTTTTTGTATTTTTAGTAGAGAGGGGGTTTCACTGTGTTAGCCAGGATGGTCTCAATCTCCTAACCTCTTGATCTGCCCACCTCAGCCTCCCAAAGTGCTGGGATTAGAGGCATGAGCTACCGCGCTCGGCTGTGTTGGGGATAAATTGATTAAAAGATAGATGTCTGTTCCTATGAAGCTTATAGCTGTTGTGGTGGGGAAGTCAGAAAAAATGTGATTTGAGGAAGCAATCAACCATTGAATTGGGGCAAAGTCATAAAAGAAGGTTAGTGTCCTGCATGGAAGCCTAGAGAAAAGAAATCCAAAGAAAATAAATGTATCAATATCTCTGGACTGTTTCATTAAACATTTTGGGGGTTGCCTTCTTAGCTAGGGTTACCAACCATTCCCAGTTTGCCTGGGACTGTGGTTTCCAGGATGCAGGACTTTCAGTGTTAAAACAGGACAGTTGGTCCCAGTTTTCTAGCCTATTTCTAGTGCATGACCATTGTACCTCTCCTCTGAAAACTATTCTGCCCACCATATGGGTAGGTCCTGGCAGCTATTTGTACTGTGTTACCCTGCCCACCAAACTACATTTGAGATTAGGGTGGAATCTTGACCCATTACTGGCCGATTTGTATTGAGAAATTGAACTGAAAACAAGAAGCTCAGAATCTAGTTGCATAGTTCTATAGTGAAATTTCACACATTTCTGTCATTGAGGTCTCTAAAACAAAGACAGTTTTTGATTTTTGGAAGCTGTTTATCTTTTAATTCTCTGAGGCATCCCAATCTTTTAAGGAGTTCTCTCCATCTGCCATTCTTGCTTAAACTAATTTAAACGGATTTTTTTGTTATCAGAAATTTGACTAAGCCAAATGTCCAGGTGTATTTCTAAATTTCTACGTCAAGACAAACAGCTCTGGTTCTTTATTTAGAAATGTTCCTAGAATATTCCTTAAGCTTAATGGAAATCTCTCTGGAATAGCTAGCTCCCTGGTTAGAGTACCGTATTTTTATATTCAGTGGACATGTCAACCCAATTTCTTTCCTTTCTCACTCCCTTCCTGCCTTCCTTCACTCCCAATTTTTTTTTTTTTTTTTTTTAACAGGGTCTCACTCTGTCACCCAGGCTAGAGTGCAGTGGCATGATCACGGCTCACTGCAGCCTTGACCTCCCTGGGCTTCCAAGTGGCAGGGACTACAGGTGCACACCACCTGGCTGATTTTTGTATTTTTTTGTAGAGATGGGGTTTCACCATGTTGCCCAGGCTGATCTTGAACTCCTGGGCTTCAGCAATCCACCCTCCTTGGCCTCCTAAAGTGCTGGGATTAGAGGCATGAGCCACCACGCCTGGCTTCACCCAGTATATTTCTAATTGTAGATAAATAAATTTGCATTCTGGTTCACTTTGGTAATTTTTTGTATTTTATTTATTTGAGACAAAGGGTTTCACTATGCTGTCCAGATTAGTCTCAAGCTCCTGGGCTCAAGTACTGCTATTGCCTAAGCCTCTGGAGTAGCTAGGACTACAGGTATGTCACCACGACCAGCTGGTATCATTTTTTTCTAAAAAATAGCACATTTGAAAGTGTATGGATTTTGTTAGAACTCGTCTGACACATAACCCTACCCTCTTTCCAATGAGCATGTTAGTTGCATATGGTAGGTGTTCAGTTAGAGCTTGCCTATGAATACTTGAAAATTCCACAAGTCATTCTTCAATTGATTTGTTGCAAATTCTGCTGCCTTTCCTAATCCTTCTCATTTGACCATCATTAGTAACTGCATATTAAGTTTCTTGGAGACGTTTCCTGACTTTGGAACTACCATCAGGCATACTTGACTATCCCAAGGTGTGGTCTTTTCTGTTTCAGCTCTGGTTATTTCATTTCACAAGCCTCAAGCTTTTCGGACTTATCAGTAGGCCATACCTAAACTAGCCTGTGTATCTTAGTAACCTTCCCACTTCCACTGTTGCTCAAGTAAAACCATGCTGTTACACGCACCAGCTTGTCCATTAATTCCTCTTTTCCTGTGACTTTTTCACCAAACTGAACATATCCCAACTTCTTTCCAGGCCACTTGATTGCTCCTGGAGTTTGTGCATCATTATCACCCGAGTGGCCTTCTTAAGTAAAAAACCAGATCCTGGGCTACCCTACAGCTGGACCTTTGCAATCAGACAAACTAGGCACGTTTCAGAAAGCTGTGGTTTTAAAAGGCTCTCCAGTTGATTCTGATACATTATTGACCTATTTATTTCCATCAGCAGGGCTGAGCCTGGGCTCTTATGATGCATTTTAGCATCTTCCCCCAACTCTCCAAGACTTTCCATTCCTTCTCACTTTGGAAACTTAGAATCTCTGGGAACCTAAACTTTTTTTCCTGACCATTCATCACAAACATATGGACACCTACTAGGTGCTAGGTACTGCAGTTACAATGCAATTTGCATTAGACACTGCCTATCCCATTACCTGAAAAAAACAAAACAAAACAAAACAAAAAACACTGCTACTCAGGATTAAGCATGTATTTATTTTAGTTCAGTTAAAACAAACATACATTGTTTCATTGAAACGGTGTAGCACTCTTTGCCAACAAGCCATACTAGAATTGTTGGCCTCTAACAGTACAGTGGGGATATTTACACTATATACACAAAGTTAATACACCCAGGTTCTCAAAGGTCTTCCATTACACTAGATCACATTTTATTTCATTACACTAGATCACATTTTGATTACTGCATTTTGAAAATGTATTCCTTATTTAAATTTTAAATAAGAGATCTGAATTTGTACCAAGATTTCATGAAAAAATTTGATGTTGTTTATTGCAAATACAATTTAAACAAGTTTTTTTTAGTGTTTGTACACAATTTGTCAATTTTTCAATATTCAATTTTCTGTACAGGTACTTTTGGGACAATTCTTATAGTTACATAATGTGAATTCATCAAAATGCAGTTAAGAAACTTACAGGAATATATACACTTGAACCCAAGACCCAAACCTGACATTATATACAACCTATTTACAAATACATATGGACAGACAATATATGTACATAGATTATCATAAATATTGAAAAATAGGTTAGCTTTAATGGATTAATGTTGTTCTATAAATAACATTACAGTTGTAACTGAAACATCCACGGAAGACAGTAATGCAAAATGAGGTGACAAGACAGTGGTTTTAATACTGAAGACTGCTCATTAATGGGAATTCATTGTTCAGGAACCTCAAGGTAGACAAGATAGCTCCCAGAAAATCATCCATTGGAATTTTCCCTAGGCACTTGATTTTGAACCTTAAATAGCCAGAGGATTGGAGGAGCTTCCTCACATTAATTTGCTGTAGAGAAAAGAATTTTTTTTCCATTCCTTCCTGGTTGCCACAGTATCTTCTCCCATACAAAAAAAAAAAAAAAAGTCTGTAGAAACAACTCTTGGTATTCCCTGGCAGGTCTTAGATACAAAGTCAGCAACTCTTTCCAGGAGCTCATGCAAATTTGCCAATTCTTGGTCTCAACTAGAGGTGAGGTTCTGCATTCGAATGGAGTGCCTAAAGCCCAATTAAATGAAAGCAGTGCCGTAGAATCTGTCTTCCCACTGCCTTTCTATTTCTAGATGGCCCCCAATTATTTTATCTTCATAGAAACAGACAAAAATGGACCAACGGTTTCACCCAATGTAGCACTACAAGACGTCTTCCAGTTCCATAAGGGTCTTTAATTACACATGTATCTTGTTTGTAAATTTAGTCACATATAATACAAGAATGCGTAACAAAAACCATGTCTCCACATTTCTGGCCCTTGCCCCAAACAACATTTTTAGTTCAAGGGCAAACCTTACAGCCAGATGACCAATTGACAATTCCATTATTTGCTTCCTTCAACCACTTAATGGAATTATGTATATTAGATTTTAGACATTATGCCTGATGAGCGAAGTACCACATTATTTAATAATATATTCACCATACACTGTGACGTACGATAAATGTGCTCTTAAAGCCAAGTTTCAAAGTAATTATTTTCATTTCTAACTGGGATTGAAATGGAAGGGTTGACATGCAGTTGGACCAAAATGACTACTAACACTCAGTTTGCACTGTTTTCCCTAGCTAACCATTTGTTGGATGTAAACAAGTAATTCTACGTTGTACAAGAATGAGATGACAGTCCAGTGCAAATGAGTTTTTATAAAGCTTACTGCATGAGAAACCCAGTGGCCTACGCAAAGAGAACTTATATCATATCAAACATAGGTGTAACCTGTGGATTAGACCTCTACTGTAGACAAAACATGAACACAACTAAGCCATACATTGTCAAGTAATTCACACTTCCAGTAGGTGAGCATTTTGAAAAAGTGTACTCTCTGGACACAATAATTTTGGCCTATTGCCATCAAATGCCCATTTTCCACTGCTGGAAGCAATGTCAAAAAAGGGCTGGCCCAAAAAAAGACCCAGAGCTGTCAATACAACACTGGAGACAGATGCAACTGAATAAACCCTGTTTTACCCAATTGCACTATTTGGTACCTCAAAATTAGTTATTTTATTTCCCACAGAAATATCTGCATTATCTTCCATTCTAATAAGTTGAAGACACAAACATTTCAGTCTGAATGAACCAAATTGTTTGGGGACAGAGAAGAAAAGTGATGAACAGAGTTCATCTGATTTGGTATAGCAATAATCAATCATCTTTTAAGTAATGGTGACGTTTAAATGGAAAAAACTATGCTCCTAATTCATGGTACAATTTTTCATTACATCATTTTCTCTAAAAATTATTTTGGGTAAAAAAGTATTTGGCTTATTATGCCTACAAAAAGGCAAACCATTTCATTATATTAATATTCATTTTTAAATACCAATGACATTATTTTATGGAATTTATTGATAACTGCTTCTGAATAAAGTTCAAAAAAGCAATTTCTTAAAAGTAAAAGAGTGCTTCTGAGGTCTTTAAGTATTTTTGGTACAAAAAATAATAGTGTTTTTGTCAATGGTTATTCAATATTTTGCTGTAAATTAAAAAGAATTGTTTCTCACATCAAATGGTTCCATTAGGCACATTCAAGTAAAATCATAAAATATCCAAGTTAAACAATGACACAGCCAAGCATGTGGCTTGATAAAAGTTAAGAGTTTGTCCATTCTCTGGAATGGAATAAAATTGTCACTTCCCTTAACCCGAGACTCGTGGTTTTGTTGTTCATATCCATTTCTAACATACAGATAAGTTTCTTAAAAAAACAAAACAAAACAAAAAAGTTCACTTATTCTGCACTCAGAAGAACCAGCGAGGAATCTGCACTTCAAAAGGAAGTGAAACTGAAAACATTAGGTGAAATTTCATAGTAGTTGAGTTTACTCAACACTGGCATCAGATGGACTGAGTTTGAGTTTGAGTGGTGCCAATTAATGGCCACCTCCAGGTGCATTGTGTACCCAATCCAAAACAATCAAGGCCATGCTTCCGGTCATCACCAGTACACCACTTAACAGGAAGAACAAAGCCTGCAAAGAGCATAGAGAAAATTGATCAGCAAGTAATAAAACATATATGCTAAACATTTCTTCTATTTTTTGAAATGTGCTTTAATTACTAAAATCTATCCACTATATAATCTATAGAAAGAATATTTAACTTGCTAAATATAAACTCCTAAGTGATCAGTATGTTATCTGCAGTACACAATAACTACCTTTGAGGCCTTCTGAACTTTTTCACTTTTTCATTCCTTTGTCTCAAGTGACAGGGAATTTTCTTGCTAAACAAACTGCTTCATATAGAACTGGACTGGATTTTTTTTTGCAATTTTTTAGAATGAAAGTCAAGTCACAAAATCAAACCCAAATCATCCTAAAATGCAGCAAAAGTCAAAGCCAGAGGTCTTTCCAGGAAATACTAATTCCTAAATCCTACCCTTCAATACTGCCACTATGTAATTTAGAGTAAAACAAGATGACAGTTGTTGGTTTATAAACAATTCTAGTACTTTAATCAGAGCAGAATGAAGGAGAAAATAATGACTAAAAAGCAGTCTTTTTCCTAAATATCACCACCAGGATTCTGGTTCTAGGAACCACATCATTTGTGGTTAGCACATCATTCTCTGTCACCAACTGGTACTACACTTTAGAGTAGATACATAATAGTAAACACCATGAAGAGACGGCCTCCCTGAGAGCTTCGCTCTGAAGATGGTCAGTCTCATTCAACTAAACAGCCCTTCCTTCTCTTTTATATATTCAATGCCCATTTAAGTGCCTGTCACACAGTAGGCAGTCCAGTGAAAACTGGTTGAACAAATGTTGAAAGCTGAGTATCTCATCTAGTCTTCATCCCTATTCCTATCTCCAAAGTATCTAATAACTTTATTGCAATTAATTTAAGTGTTCATTAGATGGCAAACTATCTTTCCCCTTCCCTCTGCAATCTTCCATCTGTGAAGTATACCATTACAGAAATGTTTGCTGGAAACTTAAAAGTGAAACCATAACAAATAACAGCTATGAGAATAAAATTAAAATCAGTTGGGGAAATTTATGATATTATTACTGTTTCTATGGTTATAATCTTTCACTCACCCCAATCTTTTGTACAGATTTCATAGGTTCTTTCTTCACCAACTTGATATAGAAGGCAGAAGGAAGAATAAAAATCAACATAGAAGCTGCAGATGCACCTGTAAAACAACATTTATGTTTCTTGAGGATTCAATGAACCACTCGTCATTCATTCTTTAAATCTTAAAATCCCTGATGTTTGAATCCACTTGGATACTTTCTAAAACTTACCAATAAAACCAAAGATATCCCTAATAGTTGGGACAAAGATGACAAGTAAATTGGTAAATGCCAAGATAGACACTGTAATGAGACTATGACGCCACCAACTGAAATCTTTTGATGCACACAACAAGTGAGTTACAGAACTCCGGATCTGCAAAAAAAATAAATAAAATGTATTTTAAAAATAGCAGCAATATAAAATTTAAAAATCCAGCTTCAATGAATGAAAAGAATGCCCAAGTAACAAGGAATCTATCCAAAATAGTAACTATTTCTAAATAAAACTGTGCCTCTTTCTCTGCTGTTTCCTGAACATCTGAACACTTAAAGATCATTTTATATCTTATGGTGAAAAAAATGTCCCCAGGGTATTTTGAAAATATACACTGTATTTTTAAAAAGCCCCTTCAAAACCACCACCAACTTAGTATTGTTCTACTGGTGTTTCCCTTCTTCCAGAAGATGAAAATCTCACCAATATTCACATGTCTAAAAACTCCTTCCTACTGAAAGCAGAGCAAGTGATTACTTACTGGGAAAATAACTACTGGTACTGTCAGGGTCACAGCCATTAACACAGCCAGACGGACAATGAGAAGAAGAATATCAGTTCCCAAGATAGAAGAGTAGGTATGAAGCAATTCTGACTCAACATGTTCTACAGGGAAAGACCAAAAAAACTTTGATTGGCTGTTTTCATTGGACACCAAGTAGAAAATTTAACAGCAAAATGTGCACCAGTTATTTAGCTACTCACAAAACGACTATAAACTAAGAGGCTAATAAGATTTGTTTGGAATTATAGTTAATGCAATTAAAGTAACATTGAAGGAAAATTTTTCTAAATACCACAGAGATTTAGCCACATGACTCCCATTAAAAACAACAGGAGTTAAGCAGCTAAATCTCCTGGCTTGGCTTGCAATTTGTGTTTGTGTTACATAGTCTGAAGGTGATGGGAGAGGAGACAGGCAATATGAACTCAGAGGCTGGCATATCATACAAATATGCCATCAAATGATTAATGATATTTTCAAACCTGGATTCTAGAAATTACTGATTAAATACACTACAGAAAATTCTAAGCTCTAAATTTAATTTCTCATCACAAATATGAAATATATTAAAACAGACTATTTTTAAAGTGATGGAACTACACATAGAAAACTAGCAGCTTCATTTCAATAAGCGTTTTTTTTTGTTTTTGTTTTTGTTTTGGTAAAGGAGGCGTTACTTACCGTAAAATGTTAGGTATCCAAAGAGGGCGGCAAGCAGATACATGAGAAACATAGCAAAAAATGAAATCTTGGACACATTCATCATTCTTCTACGGCTGCGGCTATGTAATTCAAGAGAAAATTCAAATATATATTTCAGCAGCAGTTACAGCAATTGTCTAATATTTTCTCAAATTTATGTAAAAATGAAATACTCACTCTTTCAGTTCTTCATAGATGGGAAGAACAGCAGGATGACAGACAAATGAAAAGATCAGAATTGGCACAGCATAGACAGTCTGAAAGAAAACGTAAAAATCTACTTAATCTGATGTAACGAACTCATGCTGTCACATTTCCGCAGCATATATTTTATGTAAACAATCTTAGAATCAAAGCCTAAGTTTCCTTTGTGTAATTAGCTTCCATTCTTCTAATCTGTTCATGAAGTATGATCAATATCCTCACTTCTGAATGTGTCAATTATTAGCACCATATGATTATCTCAATTCTCAATCTATTTTCAGATGTAAACCAAAACTTTCTTCACAGTCCTCAATAATTAGCTAATCACATGTTTTCTATAAAGCACCTATTATCCTCCTCCCTTTACCCTGGGAGTGAATAGCTTCCCTCTTTTCTTCCCTAAACTCTTCTTTTGAGAAAATAAGCATATTTAGTTACCTGTGAGTTGAAAATAAAATAGTGAGGTCTGCAAGAGTCATTTTCAGTCACGTTATGTGACAAAGCAGGTACAAGAGCTGTTGGCTGTGTTAAGGTGGTGTTTATTGTTTCGTTAATTATCAAAGCAGCTTCCACAGGACACGGAACCTGAAATTTCTTGCAAATGACCTAAAAATATATTATTTTGCATGTGTTAAACTAAGTGACATGGCAGGGCTTATAAAAAATTTTTTCTAAAAAAAAAATCATACCCACCACAATCAGAAAGAACACCATACACAACAAGGAAAGGCCACTGGTATATCCCAAATATCCTATAAGGAGGGGTGGCAGGAATCAGTATTAGTTTAATGAAACAGATTTAAGGCAAATATCTTTTTCCCACTGAATAACTCAATTCTGCTGGGAAGACTTTAGGCACTAAAGTATGTGTATAGCACTAAATTTCTAATTCTTATGATACTAAATTATAGATTTATTTAAATATACTTGTCATAACCCAAGCTAATAAAAACTATCATTTGCATTATTTCTTACAAAGCACAACATATAGTGTCAATTAAATATTTTGGCTCCTAAATTTTGCATGCTGTAAGTCCCAAAGATATACCTTTCTACTTTCTAGGGCTTTTTCATTCTGATTAATTTCTATTCAGAGAAAGCCCAACTAACTGGTGAGAGGCTCATTTCAATTCTCTTTAGAGATGAGTTTGCTCACCTAAATTTCTAAACAGCGACAAAGGAAGAATGACCACCAATGACACCAACAGAACCAAATAGTTCCCGTTCAGATACCACAATCTAAAGAAAACAGAAACAAGGTCAAAACAGTCACAAATATCCTCTGAAAAATATACACATCTTCTAACAGGACTCATTTCATAGGAATACCATGAAAACAAACACACAAAAAAGACATGTTTGGAAAAAGTTTCCCCTGTTCAAGATAGGAATAACTTTTTAATTTTGTGTGCTAGATGAACATTTACTCAGGTTAGAAGTCGGGTATAAAACAGTGTAACTTTTGTCCCACTACTTGCTCTGGGAAGGCTGCCAGCTGATTCATAACACAAAATGCTTCTCAAAGACTTGATACTAATGCAGGGAACAAAGCTTGTTTGTTAAGCCAGTAATCTTATCTTTAAGCACTTTCAGAAAAATTGTACACCAACTTTGGTACAGCTTTAGCATGTAATTTCTAATGCTGGAAACTAAAAAATTTTAAAACAAGTTTTTTTCCAGATGCGTTAGCAAATATTATTAAATATTTCAATGAGGAAACGTTTTCATAAAATGCACAGGCAAACTGCCCCCCCCATAAAAAAAATTATAAAACTCAGTCCCCCAAACCAGGACTTATTCCAGGTTATCAGAGTATGTTGTGACATCTTGACCCACCTTTAACTCCAAAGACAGCCAAAAATATCCCTTTTGAACTTTAGAAAACATTATGTATATCCTCTAAGCCTTTTTCTTTTTAGGTAAATCATGAATTGCACTGTCTTCTAAATCACTATTTTCAAATTCTAATTGCCTCATGAATTCTGTTCACTTCAGCAGTAAGCACTCTGCAGAACACCAACACTTAAAGATCAGCTTAAAAAATTAAATTTCTAAAGCCACATCTGAGATAACAGCACTTCTCTATTTTGACGTAATGAGCTGCACATAGGGTGGGAAGTAAATTATCCTTCCCCATGTTTACTTTAGATAAATACCTGTGAGTTCACTGGGATGAGTAACTTTGCTAGAAGAAAATGGTTTCTATAGCATGCCCAAACATTTTCTGGCACATGTTGAGTATCCCTTATTCAAAATGCTTGGGACCGAAGTGTTTTGGACTTTGGAGTACCTGCACATACATATTTGAAGTATCTTGGAGATGGCACTGAAGTCTAAACACAAAATTCACTTATGTTTCCTATACACCTTCTTAAACCCATAGCCTAAAGGTGATTTTATACAGTATTTTAATTAATTTTGCACACCTGTCACGAGATCAGGTGTGGATTTTCCACTTGTAGTGTCATGTTGGCACTCAAAAAGTTTTGGATTTCAGATTAGGGATGTCCAGCCTGTATTTTGCATTGAACAGATTAAGTCTTAAGAATTCCAAACTTACAAAAATAAGACGGATTAATTTTTAATGTAATTCAAAGCTTCAGTCCTCACTTAGGATATATATTAAAAACACCTATAACTTCTTTAAGTATGAACATAAAGACAGAAAGCAAGTTCTAGAAAACCTGTTTTAGAAATTAAGATATCCAAAATTGTAGGGCTAGCTACTATCTTTCGGCCTTTCCTTCTCCAAAGTTCGAATCAGTTTACGGGGATGGGGGGCCTTCTTGGTCAGTTTCAAAAGGAACATTTATGGATAATTAACTAATCATTTTGTATACAACTTTGATAAAAATGTATCTAACCACTTTTGACTATAATTGTTTCTTATGAGTAACCTTACTTAGCACCTACCCAGTTTTATCTTCAATGTTCGTTAATGCCTGGATCACCAAAGGCAACTCATATTTCACTATGAAGAGGTAGCTTGACATAGCTGGAGGAAAACAAAATTATACCATTACAAGTGCAAAACGCGGCACGTGACACTAAAACGCATGTGTCACCATTCTGTGCTCCACAATGAGCATAAAGTCTACCCAAATAATCTTTTGAAAAATTCTTACCTCCAATGTTCTGCATTGTAATTGATCCAGATGCTGCAAGCTTTCCAACTAATCCAAATGCCTTATATCCCAATTGTTCATATAATAAAGACCCTACAATTTGAAGACAGAAGCATGAAGCCAAGGATTTTAAAAGAGAAATAAAATGATAGGTATACATTGTTTTAGAAAAATCAAGAATGCTATCATACCTCCTTCATTGGCAGTCTTCAAAAGGAGATGAACAGAATACAGGGAAAATATTGACACAAATGTCAAGAGAATTCTGGTGAGAGAAGGAAAAGGCATAGGGTTATAAATAAGCATGGCTATATTTAAAGACAACTCTTTCTGGATGTTTAAATAACATTATGTGTGCAACTTGTCCTATTTGTGTCAAAATGCCCTGAAGAACTGGCATTTCCTCTCCTACTAACTGGAATGGCAACACTGTCTCTTGGCTGGCAGTAAAAACTTGCATCATTTCTCAGGTGATAGTTCTACAGCATTGGTTAGGAACAAGGATGTCTACCCACTGAGCCAAACATAGCATGAGACACTGGAAAGCTCAACTTCCCAGTGATGGAGTTTGAAACTTGTATTTTGATTCTGGCACCACAATAATGAGCTGTATGCTTGCCACCTTTCTGCATTTCAGTAGTTCCCCTTATCTGTAAAATATTAGTAATATCCGCCACTAAACCCAGCCCACAAGGTTCTTGGGAAATTCAACTGAGACACGTTCAGGAAAGGTTTTAAGACCACATGGACCGTATACACAAAAACAGGAATGACAGGCCAGGTGCAGTGGCTCATGCCTGTAATCCCAGCACTCTAGGAGGCTGGGGCAGGATGACTGCTTGAGGCCAGGAGTTCGAGATCAGCTTGGACAACATAACATAGGGAAGCCACATCTCTACCGAAGGAAAAACAAAAAGCCAGCTGTGGTGGTGTACACCTATAGTCTCAGCTACTCAGGCTGAGGTGGGGGTATCACTTGAGCCCAGCAGTTTGCCACTGCACTCAGCCTGGAGGACAAAATGAAATACTGTCTTTTTAAAAAAAAAAGAAAGAAAAGGAAAAGAATGGTAAGGGGGAAATGACACTAACATGATACTAACATTTTAAGAGGCACTACAAGCTTTACTAACAACTGGGCACAAATCAGAGAACTAACCATTGTGATGACATACTACATTGCACCCCATGGCAAGGAATACAGGCCCACTATTGTCACAGTTAAACAATGTCTGTGCTAGAACAAGTAGGCTATCAGCTTGACTGTCTCTAAGCCTTTCCTCCCTTGACCCTTTCACTTGGATTGAGCAACAGAAAAAAAATAAATAAATAAGGTAACATAGAGTGACTAAAGGGACCCTAATGTCACCTAATTTTCCTTTAGGGTAAGGGTTCTCCCTCATTCCAGCTTTACTTTCCTTCCACCTAGGAGAGCCCAGAGATACAGACTAATTTTTTAAAGAAATTAAATAACAAAACAGGGAAACTCATAGAAAACCTTGCAAAGGAGAAGAGTTACATGTTTTTTAATTCCGTATGAACAAACTGCACGCAGTACCATGTAAGGTGCTGACAAAGAAACTGATGTCTATTAGTTAAACAGAGGAAGTGGCTTTACACTACCATTCTAAATGCCAGAAGTTTTACAGGACCTAGTCTGAAGTGACACTATCAACCTCACTTCTAACTGGAGAAAATATGTTGGTTTAATTAAAAACAAACCAAATTAAGTCCTTCCATGTCTTATACTGAAATGACAAGGGATGAATAGACTTTATAACCTTTGAGGTCACTTTCAACCTTCAGATTGATTCTACTTAAACAGGTTAGCTACAGGGTTGCTGAAGTGCACCGTGGCAGCCATGTGGTTTTTGGCCCATTTTCCTCTATACCTCTAAATATAAAGTAAGTACTGATGAATAAAATCACACTTTAGCAATCTTATTTAGCCATTAAGCAAAATGGTAAATCAATGACATAAGCACCTATTAAAGTATAATTCCAAGAGTACAAGGGTTACATCAGAATTTGACCTTCACTTATGAAACAGAGGTGCCATTTAGTATCATTTCAATTCTTACTTTAACTACACTGGCTGCACTCTAAAACTGCCTCCAGTTTTTATACCAAGTGCTAACAAGGATTTCAAATATTCGACAGTGATGCCATTCAGGTTCTCCACTAAGAACTCCTGAGATTCTAGGATTCTACGTAAATCGCTGGTCCTTCACCTTAGTAAGAGTTCTCTCAAAAAGCCTCATCCTAATTGAAGCAAGCCAGAGTGAATCCTAGCATCTAGTACTCAAAGCCAGGCTTAACCTCAGTGTGGAATTTCACAAAGCAGAGATTTGCAAAGGTCTGCTTTTCTTTTCATGAACATTCTATCGTGCTGGAGAAAATAACTTGAGTAGAAGGCACCAATCAGCTAAGTAAAACACATCTGTCACAAAGGGACAATTCCATGCTATATACATATGGTTTCCTTATCTGTACAATGAAGGTATTAAGTTACACAATCCTCCACAGAAATTGCCTTAGCCAGGGGTCCACGGGTACTTAAACTTAAGGGCTATGACACAAACATCACTGAAAAATACATGCTTAAGATTGCATGTATTTTTGTTTTGTGCTTTTTCCCTGGAAATAAGATCCACATTTTTCTATCATATTCTCCAAGAGTCAGTGACGCAAAAATGGCTAAGAACCACTGCTCTGAAGTCTTCTGTACCTCCAAGAGTCTATCCACGTATTTATGCTGGAAAGCACAGAAGTAATTAAGTCTAACTGTGCAACTGTGGGGGGAACCATTTAAAAATAAGTACTTACTAAAGTATTCATTTTTTGCCACAACATGTGGCAATCGAACAGGTCTGACAAAAGCAAACATTAAAAAAACATGTATGGATTGCTTTTCAGGGTCCAGAAAATTATGACCTCCTCGTCTTAAAACAAACATGTTCCAGGCTGGGTAAATACCACCACACCTTGTATGTTTAGAGAAATTTTCTTTTCCTTATTCACGTAAGGGGCCACAGGTCCTTAAGAACTGTGTCGATTTACCAAAATGATTTGGAGCTTATTAGGATTTTCAGCTTCTGATTTGCCAAAACAAAATTTATACCTACCCTGGCTTTAGCCATAGTTTTTTTAATATCTACCATCTGTTACAATTTTGTTTTAACTATTCCCACTGACTTAGAAGACTTCTGGCTTAATTTGTCAGTTTTAAGGACTGCCCTATTTTTTTCTAGTTGGCTTTCTTGATATTGTGCAGTATGTAGTAGAATAAAGAGATTTTTTGGGGTTTCTCATACTTTTAATTTTAAGCAAGTAACTTTTGAGTCAGCTACTCCAACTGTAAATTCAGTTTCTGGAGCCAAAATATGTTTTACCATAGTAACTGCCCTGCATGGCAGACTCACTACTTACACATACTTACATAAAAAGAGCAATTCCAGTATTAGCCATGGCATAAGAAAGCCCAAGGATTCCACTGCCCACAATCGCATTGCTCAGATTAAATACTGACATTCCAAAGGAAGTAGTACCTGGATGCTACATAGAGGGAAAACGATAACCAAACATATAACAATAATTAAATGGAGAAAACCAGCTTTGGGCAAGTTAGATTTGAATTCTAAAAGTAAAACTATTCTTTTACTCCATAAAGCCACTGACAGACAAATTACTATTTTTAACTTACAAATTCTGTTTCATACTTCTTCTTCCCCAAATTCGATTCAAGTAAAAAGTTCTGGTTTTCAGGATCTACATCTGCATAATGGCTGCAAAAAATATAGACATATATAATTGTAAACTGGATTGAAATATCTATCATTACACACAAGACTGCTTTAACATAAAATACCCTCCAACAGCATAGCTCTGATACAACATCTTTACTTAATGTATAAATATTAACTAGGAGTTGACTTTCACACCAGCTATCTTGTCATTACAACAAGATAATCGGATACTCTTTCAGAGATTACGCACCTTCTCTAAATGCTATAGCAAATTAAAGCAATGGAAGCAGAGTCCTAGGTAACTCCCTGAACCCAACCCATGCAAGCCGTTTTTTCAAAAGTGTCACAACTTCTCCCACCTTTTCAGAGCAGCTTGCTTGGTGGGGTAGGAGTAGTTGAAGTCGCTGTTGGAACTGTAGCTGCTGCTGTCTTCATCCGGGGAAATACTGAATCGTCCCATTTCGGCCTTCTTCATGCTAAGCACTGGGAGGAATCGGGTGCAGCTAGTAGCGCTGGGCTCCTTTTGTCCTTGGCGGTGGGTGCAGCGGCCCGCGAGTCGGCCTGCGAAAGTAGAGGCGGCGCGTCAGGACCGCAGCGCCAGCCCGCCGCGGTCACGTGACGCCGCCCGGAGGCGCAGCGCGGCTGATTCATCCCAGGCCAGGCGAGTGGAAAAGTACCAGCCGCGCGCGAGGGGCGGGGGCGCGCCGAGGGGCGGAAAAGTACAGACGGCGGAGCCGCGGGGAGAACAAAGATGATGCCACCGCTGTGTTGCGGCCGTCGAGGCCCCCTACTCCGGCAGATTTCAGTATTTCACCCTCTCTATTGTCCCTCGTCGGAGTGGAGGGGGCGAGGGGGGGTTCTGTTTTGCTTTTTCCCAGTCGCTCCAAACTTGCACAGGCACTCAGGGCACACATCCAGCCCCGACCCTGGCTCGTGTGCATGCAACCTAGGCGCACGGCTTTCCGTTTCTAGCATTTGGAACAGCAATGCTGCGTAATCTGTCCTTTACTGCCCGGAGTCCCCACACGGAGAAATGCCTCTGCCGCAGACAGCCTTCCCCAGGAGGCGGAAAGGGCCGACACTACTCCTCTCTCGAGGGGGGCGAACGCCCGGGCCCCGGGAGCTGGGGGTTTGTTTACACACGCGCGCCAGTGCCCTCAAGCACACCCGTCCACAGGCAGCTGGCCCGCGAGTGCTACGCCCGCCCAGCCCCTCCTATGTCCGGAAAGAAAACTGATGCAATATCGATCGTCGATTGTCAAATGTTCCCAACTCGTCTTCCCCAATCTTGGCCTCTCCTGTAATACATGCCCAAGCCCACCTCCGCCGCCCCCAGATTCCTGGCTCCCTGGACTTAATTTTTTTTTTTTATTAAATGCAAATCAGTCACAAGACTTGCCGCAGCAGAGCCGCTGGCCGGGCTAGCTCCCCTCCCCCTAATGGGAAGATGCGGCTCCGCACCGTGCAGGCACGCGGCCCCCGCCCAGCGCCCGCTCTCCTACCCACGTCGCGGGCGCGACACCCGCGCGGCGGGCCAGGGTGGAAGGCTGGCCAGCCCAACCGACAACGCCCGCCTCGAAAGGAAACGGACCCCGCGGCCGCCTTCCCGCGCGGCCCCTCCCGGAAGCCCCTCCCCCACTCTCGCCCGGGCCCCGCGCCCTTCCCACAGACGCCCCCCCGCACGCGTTACCTCGGTGGTCTCTATTCTCACGCAGACGTCTTCAGTGGGTTTCTCTCAGTCAAATACAAATCATAAAAAACAAACAAAAAATTTCCCCAAATCCAACAACAGGCAGGAAAAATAATTTTAATAAAAAAGGAAAAGACAAATTGCCGCCCCAATCCTCCGGCGTCCGCCGTGTCAAGGGAAAGGCGCGAGCGTGCGGTAACGCGTGGTCGGGCTGCTGCTAGCAGTACTGGAAAGGCGTTCTAAGGCGGCGGCGTCGCGCGGCTGTGGAGCAGCCCTGCGAGCGGCGGGTTATAGCGGCACCCCGGGGACGCGTCAGTGGGCGGGACCGCGGCCGCCCGGGCGCCTTCTCTTTGTGTATCAACACCACCTGGGCCCCGCCTCCGACCCGCCCAGACCTAGGCCCCGCCTCCCTGCCCCTCCCTCTGCGGCCCGCGCCCGCGGCCCAGCCCCGCCCGCAGGCGCCCCCAAGACTCTCCCGCAAAGCCCAAGCCCACTCTCTCCAGCTTTCTAGATAGTCTGGAAAGACCCCCAGATGCTTCCCCTGCCTATCCTTTTCAGCCAGGGTTGGTGCTCAACACATGCGGTTGTCTTTGAGGAGCCATCTCCTTAAAATTTTCTCCTGTCCGAGTCACCAGCAGTCCTTGCTTTCGGGGGACACATCAAGGCTTTTGGGGGACACCACCCTCCCACCAAACACTTTCTTGATTGTTATTTTTGTGATTTACAGTGAAGTTTTGTCTCACAAACTTGGGCCAAGGCAGCAAGGTTGTCCTGATGGTTTGTTGTTCTTTCTTTTCCACCTAGACCTGCTTTCACTCTTCAAAACTAGCCGGAGGTCGGCGAGCAGCTCCTTTTCGGGATGTGCTTTTTGTACGGCCATGGAAACTGGACTAGCGGAAAGGCTACCTTTTGGCCAGCAAGCCAGGCCCCTTAGAAAGAGGCCCCAGTGGGGAGCCCGGCGCTCCTAAGGCCGTTTGGGAGTCCCCAGTTTTCCACTCGCTGACACGTTGCTTCTCTTATCCCACCACCGCCGCCCCGGGCAAAGGCACTGCCTTGTCTGAATGCGGGTCTGAGGCGCTTTCTGCGGAGCCTGGTCCTTTCCCTTCAATGGTGATGTGTGTGGTCTTGCTGAGCCAGGCAACTAGGGGGACCCTTCGCTGTGGAAAAATTGGTGCTGCGGGAAAGGCAAGACTCACTCCCTTGCAGGAAACAAAGACCCCTTAGGAGAGAGAAATGTTCATGGAATGAATGAATAAACAAGTTTGACCTACTGCTCTCTTCCTTTTGGGGACTTGGGAGAAATTGGGCAGGGCATAGAGGAAAGGGCTGGGTGTGATCGCAGTTTTTGCTTTCAATGTTTTACTGAGGAAATCCGTACAACTGCCTATTTCCGCCGCACGTGAGGCTTCGGGTGCCCTCGCCTGCACCAGTGTTTATGATTGACAAGCGAGGTCCCGATTTCCCCCATCACACTCCTGTGTTCCCTACCCCAAACCTTCTACTCTGTTCAGGCCAGTCTTCCCTACCGCAAACCTTCTACTCTGTTCAGGCCAGTCTTAAATAATAGCCATTCTTGCTTTGGTGTCCAATCTCCTCTCATCCCCTTAAATGCCGCTGTCATGCAAGGCTTAGTCTTCGAGCCACAGGAAAGCGCCCCGCATGCCTTAATCCCTCCGTACTCAGCCCTCTTTTTGCAGGTACTATTTTCTAAAACAATATGGTGACGGACTTTTAAAAATCCGTGCTGTCATGCACTCAAAATCGTTCCAGACTATTTGTAGTATCATCTGCCCAAAGATTGTGAACTCCCCAAGGGCAGGTTTGGAATTTGACACACAATTAGGGCTGAAAAAACTATCTTCCTTCCACATACATTCCCCAATAAAATCAATCAACTCTTCTTGTCACAACAATCTTGGTAGTGGTAGGTTAGAGAGGAGTCCCAGGAAGTTTCTTTATATTAGGTTTCAACTGATAACAATCAAAAGGTCTTAAACCACTTTTTCATTCCAGATGAATCTCTGGTCGTTTCCTCTGCCCAGTTAGAGGTGCTAAGGAGGCCCTCAGGGTTGGTAGTTATGGGTGGCAAGTGGCACTATAAGTAAATCTCATGTCTTTTGGACTTTTTGGTGGTTTGTATTGCAACACATATTTAGGAGAAGCACAATACCTGTACAGCTGAGGGCAAAGTGGAGGGCAGGGGCGGGGGGGGGAGCTGCAATATTGATCTGGTCTCTGTATGATCAGAACTTGAACAGTAAATGACAAAAAAAGAAGGGTGGAGGGGTGAAACTTCCATGTTTTTATTGCCAGTTTGATTGGTCTTTTCGAGGGCCAAACTGAGGCATGCCTGCTAACTCCATCAGACTTCCAACTGAGGCCTGATGTGCTCTGAGCAATTGCTGTTATGCTTTGGGCTTGAATGCATTGGACACAGTGTCCTCATTCAATTTCTGGGAAACGATATTGCCAAATACCTATTGGTCAGTGCGCTATAATTTTGTTTGATTTCTAAGCTAATGTTCTAGAAGAGCAGCATTTTTTAAACTTTCAGAATGGGACCAAGTGGTGGATAGTGATGAATTCAGTGGATTAGTACTAGCTTTCTATTTTCTTCAATGCAGTAGAATAGAATAATTTTTTTTAAAAAATCAGTATGCCATATGTACTATTATTCTGTAAATCTTTTATCTTGATTATGTGTATATATATGTGTGTATATATGTATACATATGTATACATATATGTGATTATGTGTGTCTGTATATATATGTGTGTGTGTATTATGAGTTGTGATGTAAAACAGGGGTCCCCAACCCCTGGGCAGCAGACTGGTACCAGTCTGAAGCCTGTTAGGAACTGGGCTGCACAGCAGGAGGTGAGTGGCAGTTCAGCCAGCATTTGGCCTGATCAGTGGTGGCATTAGATTCTCATAGGGGCACGAACCCTATTGTGAACTGCACATGTGAGGGATCTAGGTTGCATACTTCTTATGAGAATCTAACTAATGCCTGACAATCTGAGGTAGGACAGTTTCATCCTGAAACCATCTCCCCCAATTTTTTTGTGGAAAAATTGTCTTCCACAAGACTGGTCCCTGGTGCCAAAAGGTTGGGGACTGCTGATGTAAAATGTATGTCTTGCTGTGGTTTGGGGGGGGGTCAAAGAATTTTGAAAGCTACTGAAATTGAATCTTATTTCCTATCCTAAGACAGAAAAACTGTCACAAAAATCAGTTATCAATTCTGGATTTTCAGGAATGCATTGTCAGGATAGATTGTTAGAACTATTTATTGAAGGTAGGTAGCTATGTTCTGTACAATTTTTTGACCATTATTTCCTGATAAAATAGAGTGGTTCTGTTTCCTGGAAGCTGTCATTGGTTGACATTTTCTACTTGTTGTTAAACAACTGGTTTTTAAGATGACCCTCAAAATTCTATTTATCCAGCACTACAATTTGCCAAAAGTGGGCTTACACATAAAATTTGCTTTTCTCTACCCTCCATTTCCAACTGTATAGTTTCATTCGCAGATTAGCTTCTATGGCTTTCTTTTATCTGTCCCAGCCCATATTTCCAATCTTATTTCCCATTATTCCTTGTGGTAGGCAGCTTCTAGGATAGGCCCCAATAAATCACCACCTGCTGGTATTCATACATATTTGTAATCCCCTCTCCTTGAATATGGGCTGGACCTAGTGATGCACTTCTATGTGGCAAAAGTGATGGCATGTCACTTCTGAGGCTAGGTTACAAAAAGACAGACTGGGCGTGGTGGCTCATGCCTGTAATCCCAGCAATTTGGGAGGCCGAAGAGGGTGGATCACCTGAGGTCAGGAGCTTGAGACCAGCCTGACCAACATGACGAAATCCCGTCTCTACTAAAAATACAAAAATTAGCTGGGCATGGTGGTGCATGCCTGTAATCCCAGCTACTCGGGAGGCTGAGGCAGGAAAATGGCTCGAACCTGGGAGGCGGAGATTGCGGTGAGCCGAGTTCACGCCATTTCACTCCAGCCTGGGCAACAAGAGCGAAACTCCTTCAAAAAAAAAAGAAAAAAAAGGACTGTGGCTTCTATCTTGTTCTCTTGTTCACTTTCTCTGGTTCACTCCTTCATCTGCTTTGAAGGAAACAAGCTGCCATCTTGCGAGCTGTCCTATGGAGAGGCCCACATGTCAAGGAATGGGTGTTTCTGGCAACTACCAGGTAGAACCTGTGGCCTGCCAATAGTCATATGAGTAAGTGTGGAAGCAGATTCCACCCATTTGAACTTTGAGATGACTGTAGTCCCAGCTAATACCTTAGCCAGAGGACCAGATAAGCTCAGCCCAGATTTCTGACCCACAGAAACAAGTGATAACAAATGTTTATTGTTTTAAGCCACTACATTTTGGCACATTTTATTACTCAGCCATAGATAACCAATATATTCCCCTTCATATACCCTATGCTTTTGCCAATATATGTTGCTCAGTGTTCTCAATATAAACTGTTTTCCATTTAAACCATTTCTGCTACTCGGAATGTTCTTCATACCTCCTCTTCCCTGCCACTATATATTTAAATTATATCCTTCCTTTGAAGCCCAGCTTAAATATCACAACTTGTATCAGCTCCTCTTTATTTGGTGATCCCATTTGAAACCGATCTCACTTTACTTTCAACTTAGTGCTTTATAAATATCCTTTTTTTTTGGTGACACTTCTTTTCCTGTTGTCTACATATTAGATTTGATGTTAGTGTCTTTGCAGGGCAGCCTCTTGCTAATTACACCCAGTCCAGTTACTTGTAAAAATAAGGCACTTTTTGAATATATAAATGAATTAAATACTTTTTTCTTTATAGTACTTATCACCACCTGAAATTATGTTAAATATGTTTATTTATTTACTTTTTCATTGTTTGTCTCCCTCACTAGAACGTAAGTGCACAAGGGCAGGGATTTAATCAGCTTTGATCACTGCTAGTTCCAGCACCTGAAATAGCTCCTGACAATACATGTGCTGAATGAATAAATACAGGGTAAATAGTTTTGAGTTTCTCAAGAACCAAGAGAAACCTATTATATGTTATGTTTAAAGGGCATCTATCCTATCCCTTACTGCCTAAAGCAGAACTCTTGATTTCTCTATCAAAACTATTTTTCCTCGAACCTTTCCAAGTCAGAATAACACCATGATTCATAAGGGAGCTCAGGCCCCAAACCAAGGAACCATGTTGAGTCCTCCTTTTCCTCAAATAACCAACCCATCACCAAGTCATGAGGGCTCTGCCTCCACATATATTCAGAATTCTGTTGCTTCTCACCATCTGCATTGCTCTGGCCCTAGTGAGACTATCATCTCTCTCAAGACATCTCCTGAATCATAGCCTAACTCATGTGTGGGTTTCCATTCGTGGTGCTCACACACAGTCCATTCTCTGTGAGTCATTTAGTAGCCATATTGGTAATCGGATTGAAAAAACAGTACATAAAGGGTTTGGTACTATCCGCAGTTTTAGGCATCCACTGAGGGTCTTGAAATGTATTTCAAGCAGATAAGGGAGAACTACTGTATCTTTATGCAGCTCCCTTCTTATCATTTAGATCTTATCTTAAATGTTACTGACTCAAAAAAATCTTCTTTGGCCATTCCAGCAAAAGTTGCTCCTTGGACTCAAGCTCCATTCCCCACTGTCCTATTTTATTTTTTAGTGCAATGTGTGAAAACACATTATTTGTTTGTTTGCTTATGATCTTCTGCAACATTAACTCCATGAGGAAAAGACTGGTTTGGCTCATTATTAAATGAATCTTCAGTGCCTAAAACAGTGCCTGATACATAAAAAGTGTTCAATAAGTGCTTGTTGATTTAGTACTTTCAACTTTTTCCCTCAATGCCTAGCACAAAATAAACTCTGAATCCATATTTGTTGCAATGCCTTGATGATAGAAAAGACAGTATTTTTTTTCTCAGACCCAGTCTTGTCTTGTCTTTTCCTTCCCTCCCTCCCTCCCTTTTTCTTTTTTCTTTTCTTTTCTTTCCCTTTCTCTTTTCTTTTCTCTTTCTCTCTTTCTTTCTTTTCTCACTCTGTTGCCCAGGCTGGAGTGCAGTGGCACCATCTTGGCTCACTGCAACCTCTGTCTCCTGGGTTCAAGCTATTCTTGTGCCTCAGCCTCCCTACAGCTGGGATTACAGACATGCGCCACCATGCCTGGCATTTCAGACCCAGTCTTTTGTAAAACACAAGCATGAGGATGAATTCCAAGGCTTGCTTTCTAATGGCTTTTTTTCACCTAATTAAATGCCCCTTTGCTATGCACACAGCCTCACTCCTTTGTCTTAGGACAGTGTTATTCAAAATTCAAGTATGAACACTGGCATTGTGGAGAGATAGTGAAATTACTTTTTCTTTCCTCCATCTCCCTTCAAACCACACCCTTCCCCTTATTCCAATGACTTCCATATTTTCTTACTGCTTTTTTTTTTTCTTTCTTTCTTTTAAGAGACGGAGTCTCACTCTGTCGCCCAGGCTGGAGTGCAGTGGCGCGATCTCGGCTCACTGCAAGCTCTGCTTCCCAGGTTCACACTGTTCTCCTGCCTCAGCCTCCTGAGTATCTGGCACTACAAGTGACCGCCACCACGCCCGGCTAATTTTTTGTATTTTGAGTAGAGACGGGGTTTCACTGTGTTAGCCAGGATGGTCTCAATCTCCTGACCTCGTGATCTGCCTGCCTTGGCCTCCCAAAGTGCTGGATTACAGGCACGAGCCACTGCGCCCAGCTTCTTATGTATTTAACTTAATTTTTTTCCTCAAATAGTGAAGACTGGAGAATAATTAAATGTTTAAAATTGGCTAATAAAAATTGTATCTATCATGTACAACACGATGTTTTGAAATATGTATACACTGTGGAATGGTTAAATCGAGCCAAATAACATAGGCATTACCTCACATACTGATTTTTTGTGGTGAGAACAGTTAAAACCTATTTTCTTAGCAATTTTCAAAATACAATACATTGTTATTAACTATAGTCACCATGTTGTACAATAGAGCTCTTGAACTCATTCCTCCTATCTAACTGAAATTTTGTTATCTTTTGACCAACATTTCCCCAAACCTCCTCCCCTCCACTCCCTCAGTCTTTGGTAACCATCATTCTATTCTTTACTTCTATGAGTTTGAGTGTTTCCGGTTCCACATACAAATAAGATTATGTGATTTGTCTTTCTGTGCCTGACTTTTTTCCACTTAGCATAATGTTCTTGAGGTTCATCCATGTTGTTGCATTTCCATATTTTTAATATTAATCTTTCCAGGTGCCTGAGGAAATTCTTGTCTCAACTCTTTTTTTCTTTTTATCATTTTGTATATATTATTCTTGGGATCATATTTAGAAAGTGCTTGATAAATGAACGGTTGTATTCAATCTTGTAAGATAGCTCTCAAGTCTAAAGCAACAGTACGGACTCTGGGAGTGCTTTGCTGACTTTGGCATGTTTTTCTGGTGTTGACAGATACTCTATTAGATATCAATTGCTATGTAACAAATTATTCCAAGACTTAGTGTCTGAAAGCAACAATAATTTATTATCTCTCGAAGTGTCTATGAATCAGGAATTCAAGAGCAGCTCTGTTGGGTGTTCTGGCTTTAAGTCTTTAATGAGGTTGCAGTCAGCTGTGAGAGGGCTCTAGTCATCTGATGGCATGACTGGGGCTGGAAGATCTTCCAAGGTCATTCACATGTTGGTAAGTTGGTGCTGGCTGGTTGCTTCCTCTCCAAGAAGGTGTCTGCACAACCCTGACTGAATGTCTTCATGACATGGCAGCTGGCTTATCCCAGAGCAAGTTAGCAAGAAAGAGCAAGGCAGAAGCTGCAATGCCTTTATGAACTAGCCTTGGAAGTCACACTTTATCATTTCTACCATATTCTATCAGTCACAAAGGCAAGCCCTGATTCAACATAGAAGGGGACTACACAAGGGAGTGCATACCAGGAGGTAAGCATCACTGGGGGCCATTTTGGAGGCTGGCTACCACAGAGAAGTTGTCAGCAGCAAGAATATTTTTATTTTATTATTTTATTTTATTTATTTATTTATTTATTTATTTATTTATTTATTTATTTTTATTTTACTTTGAGACAGGGTCTCACTCTGTCGCCCAGGCTGGAATGCAGCAGTGTGATCAGAGAGCCCAGGTTCAGGTGATTCTCCCACCTCAGTCTCCTGGGTAGCTGGGACTATAGGCACAGGCCACCACGTCTGGCTAGGCTAATTTTTTGTAGAGACAGGTTTCAGCCAAGTTGCCCAGGCTGATCTCAAACTCCTGGGCTCAAGCAATCCACCACCTCAGCTTCTCAAAGTGCTGGGATTATAGGCATGAGCCACTGTGCCCAGCCAGAAAACATTTTATGGCAATAAACACAATATGCAATTGAAAGTGGCTTAAATAATGACACTATCTCACATAATAAGAAGTATGTAGAGAGCACAGTTCTGGGGTTAATTCTTGGCCCTGATACCTCCCTCCAAGACAAAGAGCTCATTATATTTTCACTTTGCTTTCTTCAACATGCTGGGGATCTCTCCCATCATGGTCACATGTTGGCTGCAGTGGTTTTAGGGGTCATAGGCAGACAGGACCACATCCATTGCAAAAGAAAGGAGCGTCATTTTGTGAGTTAATTTTATTTTGAGAGATAACATTTCCTGGAAATGCTGTTATTGTTGTCTCAGATCCCACTGGCCAGGACTGGAAAACATAGTAATGCCTAAAAAATATATTATATTGTAAATCCATATATTTGCAAGCATCAGTATTTTGTAAATGCATACCTCATTTTTCAGCAAGAAAAAGAAAATTAAGGGGCCCACAGAAACTCAGTCTTAAAAAAATTTAGAAATATGGCTGGGCGCGATGGCTCATGTCTGTAATCCCAGCACTTTGGGAGGTCGAGGCAGGCGGATCACCTGAGGTCAGGAGTTTGAGACCAGCCTGGCCAACATGGTGAAACCCCGTCTCTAGTAAAAATACAAAAATTAGCTGGGTGTGCTGGCAGGCGCCTGTAATCGCAGCTATTTGGGAGGCCAAGGCAGGAGAATTGCTTGAACCTGGGAGGCGGAGGTTGCAGTGAGCCAAGATCGCGTCATTGCACCGCAGCCTGGGCGACAAGAGCAACACTCCGTCTCAAAACAACAACAAAAAATTTAAAAAAATTTAGTTTTACAGATACTTTAGTACAAACATACCCAATTCTGTCAAGACTGAAGAACTTTCCAGGGACCTAGTATCAGAACTCTGTTTCTCCCATCTCCTTCCCAAATAAAAGAGGGGAAATAACGGCTTGACTAATGACCTTCTTGTGATACTTACCTGTTGGCCTTTTCATTTGACCCTGGAATGGTCTATTTTGCTAGGTGTAGTATATGCCAATGAATGTGAAAGAAAACAATGGCAGAGAGATGAAGGATTTATAGACAATGGTTCTTTGGCTAGGTAAACTGACACCTGCTAATTACCAATAAGTGTCTTGGAAAGTGAAATGTGAAAGCAAAATCACAGATACGATTCTCATATACATGCTTAAGGTTATTCAGAATGTGGTAAGGTCACAGCAACAATCAAGAATTAAGCTAAAAAACAAGCTGTGTATATTCTTAGTAAAGAAAATAGAAGTTTTATTGAAGTGCTCCATTGTTTTAAAAAATTAAAAATTTCAGATCCTTACAATTTTCCAAAACAGGATCATTAAAAAATACCTTTATTTTAATACTTGTTAGGGGTCTTCTTGTCTAAAGAGAAATGACAGTGACTGAAAGAAGGTGTGCTACCCAAAGCACTCGTAGGCCACGATGAACCTACATTCCTGGCCTTCAGTCAGTTTCCGGATCTTTCTTTGCCCAGGGCTAAGATACTGAAATAACGATTTATTAAAATTAACACACCTGCAATTCTGGTTCTTAGATGGGAACCATTTAATATATGGGCTTGGTTCTGAGATCTTTACTCAATAAAACTCCCAACTGTTTTGACTGACATCGTTGGCACTTCGTGACTGATTAAGGCACCTGCCTCCGGTTCCATGTCACTTCGTCTTGGGACACGTGGCGCTAATGCCACTTTTCAACCCCCCACCCCATTCAGCGACATTAACCCGGGCGACAGTCCAGGGCTAAACAGTTGCTGAAACAGTTAAATGTGTGTTTTATTGAGGTGAACCACGTACACAACAACCCCCTTTGAGTGAAACAATTTTGTTGTGTAACCATTTGTCACTTCTACATGGATGAGGTCAACGAAATCCTCAAAGTTGCTGTCTCAGGAATAAATTTTGTTCGTGGTTGGGAAAACGAAGTGGAGAATGTTATGGGATAGAGAAAATAGCTTATTTTCTCAGTGGTTAAGTGGGAGTGGGTAAAACACAATTGGCCTTGCATGTGCTTTGTTTAAACGGCGGTGCAGTAATTCTAAATGAGAAGACAAGACGCCCATCGTCACCGTCTTCTCCCTTTGTCTCACATTCCGCCCGGAGATGTGGGGGGTCTCACTCAATGCGGAACGGAGGTGGCGGGGGTGCGGCGCCCCAGAGGCGAAGGCGGAGGCGCCAGGACGCCGCTCCTGGCCTCTCAGGATACCAGCAGGCTACACGCAAGGTCGGGGGCAAGGCCGCGTGGCGGCTTGGAGCCGCGCGAAGGAAGCGAGGGCTGGCGGCCCCAGGGCAAAGGGGTCTGGCGGCGCCAGCCTGGGGCGCTGCAGCGGGCGGGGCGTGCGCAGCGCCGCTCCCCGGAGAGAAAGGAACCTCCGCAATGTCGGGGCCCGGCTGCGACCGGAAAACGGCGGGGGAAGAGAGAAAAGGAGGAGGGAGGGGGAAAAGGAGGTGGGGATACGAAGGAGCGGGGAGGCGGCGGGCGGGGCCTGCGGCGCGCAGCCCCAGTAGATCTCCGGAAATTTTCCACTAACGCTCCGAGCGCCAGAGCCGCCCGGGCGCAGCCCGCCTCTGCGCGCCCGCGACCCACGTGACGGTGATTCATTCGGCACCGCCTCCCCAGCCCGCGCGCGGACTTGGAGCCAAGAGTGGGAGCAGGGGTCGGGGGGAGGAGAAGGTGGAGGAGGAGGCGAAGAGGAGGCGGGGAGGAGGCGGGGAGGAGGGGGGAAGGGTTCGGGGAGAGGGAGGAGGGGAAGCAGAGGGGACGATGAGGTGCGGAGGCGTTGGCAGGTACCTGGGCCCCGCCGCCCGGGTGTGTGGGGGTCGGGTCGGGGGTCCAGCAAAGCCCCATCCAGTCGAGCCTGGGCAAGCTGAGAGGCTGTCGGGTGCGCTCCAGTTACGCTCCCCTGCGTCGTGGAAAACCTAGAGAGCCCTACAGCGTCAGGGCTAATCCCGGGACGCCTCGAGGCCCCGCGGAGTTTTCGCGAACGCGCCGGGCGGTGCAGGGATGTCCTGCTTGGGAGAGTGCAGGGTTGGAAGCGGGCACGCCCTGTTGGCAGCTGCCGGCGCTTGTGTACGTGGCTGCTGACGTGGAGAACTGTAGCTGTGGAAAGCCTGCGCCCCAAGGAGGGACGCGGGGGTGCAGTCGCGGCCCATTATCTGTGCCCGGGAAGTCCTGAAGGCTCTAGGAGCTGTCAGATTAAACCCCCAGACCCACAAGAAAATCCCTGAAGCTTCGGTGAGCGTGGGATTTGGCGTGCAGTTGGTTCCGTATGGTTCCCCATTAAGACTTGGAAGTCGGCTTACCAAGATTTCCTCTTACCCTTCGGCTGTGTTGAGTAGATATTACACAGACACCCCGCCCATGACTCTGCTCTTGCAGGAAAACATTTATTTCAAAAATACTGCAACGGTTTCATCTCTCATGTCCTTTTAGGTTCTTTCTAGTAATTGTGAACTTTTCCTCTCAAGTCATTCCATCAAAGTCTTGGAAGCAAATGAAAAAAACATACTACCCTGAAATAGAGTTCACATCTTTCTTTACCAACTTGCCTTTCCCAGGAAGACATCGTGGTGGGTTTGCAGTTCAGGTTTCCTCACAGCCTCTCCTGGGGGTCTTTTTCCCTCTCTGGTACCTTGAGGCATAGGACAGAAGGGAGCTGCTGAAGTTTCTGGATGTCGCTTATTTTTCACATTTGTTTTAACTTCTTTTGGCCAGAACTGTGTATTGTTTTCGCATAGATTTCTGCAATTAGAATTATTGTAATTAGAAAGAATAATAATCTTCATATAAGGCTTAGGGTACGCACTACTTTAAGGTCTTTGTAAATGTGTGCATATTCATTTCTCTCATCAACTCTGAGGTAGGGGCTATTCTTACCCCATTATTGACCTTTTACAAATGAGGAAACTGATGCTTGGAGAAGTTAGATAACTCGCCCAAGGCCATTCCTTCTCTAAGAGGAGGAACTGGAATTTGACCCCAAACTGTCAGGTAAATCCAATGCTTTGTTCACTATGCAATAGAAATTCTTTATTAATAAATTTAATTGTGTTGAAATATTAAGTTTACATTTTGGTGGGATTTTCCCCCTCGTTTTATTAAAGTGGCCTTCCTGAATTTTATTGTGGAGGGATGTTTAAAGTTAGTTTGGGTAGAAAGCCACACACAATTGTAAAAAGGAAGTCTTATGAAGAAATCATGCATTCCAAGGCAGTGTTACATTTTTCTTAAAGGGTAGATTATTGAAATATTTGACCTAAGAACTCATTTTTTTTCTCAGGAGAAAGGTTTGTCTTCATACACCTTTAGCCCCGAGCAAATGGTGAATCCTCCAGGAGAATGACGATGAGGCTTTTTAGTCTTCAGGGTTCGATAAATATATATCGATTGAAATGTATTCAAAAAGTGAATACCCTTGAAAGGACGATGACATAATGCCAAATGAAAAGGAAATTTCCCAAAGAAACCTAAATAATGGATAGATTTGATAGCAAGATACTACTGGTTTTTTCCTTCTGGAACCTTCTTTTCTGCACTTGAAACCTTCCCTGTCCAGCCAAGACTGGGTTAGAAGCTCCTTTTGTGTGTTCGTGTGGCACCCAAGGTCTGCCCCTGTAGTGGTACTGACCACGGTGTATTCTCGTGGCCTGTTCACCTGGCTGTGCTTCCCAGGAGAGTAAGTGCCTGGAAGAGCAGGCATTCTGTCAGGCTCAACAGAGTGCAACAGCGTGTCCCCAGGGCTCAGGACAGTTGTTTGTCCTAGAGCTATGGGAGTTATTGAGCTAAGCAATACTTGTTAAAAGCATGAGCTTACACAATTGATCAGCCATGTCTTGTTAGGATGTACTGAATTGGAATTTAGCAGAAACTGGGAGAGCAATGTCCCCGTCAGGAAATGTCTGTTCAATCTTGGTCTGTGTATATCCTACTTACCCACATGTTATTTTGCACATAATAGTTTTTTTGATGTTTATTAAGAACAAAAACAGCCTCTTTAAAATTGTGTGTTCAGTTAGCTAACTGTATTTCAGCATCCAATTAATAATCAGAGGTTTAATAACTACAGCCTTAATTCTGGCCTCACAATGATAGAATGATAAAATCATAGGTTTTTTTTTTTTTTTTTTTTTTTTGGCTGAAGGAGATCTTATAACTGCTCTGTCCAATACACAACCACTGGCCACATGGCTATTTGAATGAATTAAAATTAATAAAATTGACAATTAAGTTCTTCAATAGGGCATTTTAATTGCTCAGTAGCCACATGTGACTACTTAAATAAAATTAATTTTATTAATTCATTCAAAAATGGACAGCACTGACAGATAGTTCCATTATTGTAGGAACTGTTATTGGACAGGGCTGATAAGTTACCGAAGGAAAAAAAACAGGTAAAAGAAGATATTTGAGATAGCTTAGCATTAGCATTGTTACATACAAAGAACATTACACTCATATTCAAAGTGTCTGCTGTTAGGTTGGTGCAAAAGTAATTGCGGTTTTTGCCATTACTTTTAATGAGGAAATATTTCGTATATGATAAACAGTTTTCCTTAGCAGTTGTACCTAAATTAATGCACATTTAAACATATTCAGGAGAATGAATGGTTCAAAAGGATTCCTTTTTGCATTCCTTTAAAGTGAATACTCATTCCAGTTGATCCTTTGTGAGTTCTATTTTTTTTTCTGTTTAAACATACTGAAATCAACTTGAGTCACTACACAAGTTTGACATTCATTAGATTTGGCTGTGCTTTTTAAGCTCGCATGATTGAGAAACTAAAATACTCAGTAATGTTGGTAAAGGACAAATGCCAGATAGTTTTGGACAGACCAAATATATATTTAATGACATCACACATGCAATACAGACAGTTCTCAATTTACAAACACTCTTGAGAAGCAGCCATAGGTTAAATATAAAACATACTGGGTGTACCTTCTTTAAAATCCTCTTAAGAACAGTACCACCTGGATATCCATTGTATGAACAAATTAGTATTTAAAAATAATAAAAATAAGTCTTAGAATTAGAGAATGTATAGTTTTGAGCTGTGGAGGCAATAAAGAGGCTGTGTAAAACTCAGGGGGAGTTAGTTGAGGTTATTTCCACAGTAGAGCAGATTTGCTTAAGTAACCCCCTGACAAAAATAGCTTAGTTCCGCCTCCCCGCAGCATGCCTGCCCCTCCCTGCTGTGTGCATTTCCCCCAGTCCTTCAGTCGTTAAAAATTTTCCCATTTCATTTATACTCCAGTTTCAGTTCCGTTGATTCAAAGTTTTGGGACTTAGGACAAGTTTGCTAGCTTCTCTGAGCCTCAGTTTTTTAAACCGTTAAATAGGAATAACAGCATGCTGAGTGCCAAGAATTAAAGAAAAATTTATGTGAAAATATAGATTAGAAAGAAAACTAATATAAATGCAGGGGATTATGATCATAATACTCATAAAACTTCAGTACTCCCTGGGAAGATCCAATGGCCGTCAGTCATGTGCACGTGATCAGAATCTGGGCCATCATATTTTTTTAAGCAAGTTGATGGCCTGAGGGTTCTTGGCCAGGTGGGAGGAGGCTGCTCTGGGATGTTGAAGAGAGATTTTAAAAAGGAGATGGAAGGCTGTGAAAACATAGTTCAAATTGGAGGGAGCTTGGGCAGATACCACCTTTTCTTTTAAGGAATGAATGTAATTGCTTGCATTTTGTCTCTACTTCCTTCCTCTCATTGATTTATTCCGAAGGCTAGAGTTTCTACTTTACATTCTAATTCATCTGACATAGCGTGTTTTTAAAAAACTTAGCATTGCTTGCTTTGATTTTCCAGTTGACTTTTGCTGATGGAGCCTCTCTGAAGGGCAAATTCAAAGTACAGCTGGGTGCTGCAGCACTGGAGTGCGAACTTGTGGCTGTGGTTATGAAGGAGCCTCGTCAGCTATGCCTTTAGCCCCTGGTGAAGCAGTGCCAGTCACACTTTGCCAGTCAAACGGAGAGGCAGCAGTAGTAAGACCAGACCAAATCAAACCAAACCAAGCAAACCACGGGGAATGGAGGTAGGTGAATAGCGCCAAAGAGAATGATGGCTCACAACACTTCTAAGCATGGTGCATATATCAGTTCATTTAAGCCTTATGATGACCCTATGGGGTCAGTACTATTATCGTTATTATCCCCAACTGAGGCACAGAACAACTGTGTGACTAAGCGACTGTACTCAATGTCACACCACTGTTAAGTGATAGAAGTGACATTTTAACTCAGGCAGCTGGATCTGGAGTTTGTCCTCTTAACTACTACATTAGCAATTCTCAAACTTTTGGTCTCAGGACCCCCTTGCAGTCTTAAAAAGTATTGAGGACCACAAAGAGTTTTGTTTATGTGGACTATATGTGTTGATATTTATAGTAGAAATTAAGACTAAAAACTTAAAAGATAGTCAATGTATTTAAAAGTAATAACCAACTCACAATATGCTAATATAAATGACATTTAAAAGTGAAAATAGCTATGTTTCTCCAAGTGCAAAAGGTTGAGAATGGCATCGAAGAATGAAGAATCAAAGAATGGTATCATTTTATAGTTTTGCAAACTTATGCACCATACTGTACCTCTTTTGGTGTGACAGTGGTTAAGAAAAGAGGAAATGAGAGAGACTAAAAGGTACAAGTGAGGGGAACTCAAGACCTGTCTCAGTGAGCCCCTCACACTCTTGTATGAGGAAGAAATGATAACTAAAGAATCGTCTGTAAAGTGTACAGCAGCATCTGGATTTTCATGCCTGGTTTAATCTTCGATAGATTGTCTGGATTCATTCTCTCTCTGTGTGGGTGTGTGTGTGTATGAGCATACACACACATATTTGAGGTTAGGTAAAAAACTTTGTCATAAAATATATGTAAACTGGAAAGGATTTTAGAGATTATCTGACAGTTCTTTTTTTATGGATGAATGCATCTGAGGCCAGACAGGAAAATGACTTATTGCTGGTTGAATTGCTGATTAGTGGCTGGATTGGAGGTAGAACCCAGATCATCTGCCTCTTCATTCTACTCATGTCCTGTCATGGAAATTAGTCAATCCAATTATTATTATTATAGAAGTCTGTTTTCACCAGAAAGTTTGTGAACTGACAACCGTAAAATCTGTGGTAAATTCACAGGCTTCATCAATGACACTATGAAATATTGACCCTCAGCTTCCCAGATTGCAACTCCCCAAGTCTTGGTCTGTTTGCTGTTAGGATTTGTTACAACTTCTTCCTTATTGCCTTTTGTTACACAAGCAGTGCTGAATATGGGCTGGATATTGGAAAGAGGGCAAGAAAATGAGAACCCACAGTTCTGTGACGTGACAACACTGATTGGCCAGTCACTGTTATCTGCAGGATGTGCTTTTCTTAAGGATGAACATATTTTGGTCCACAAGTTTCCAAGACAAGCACATTCCTGCCAACATGATCCTTGGACAAACTGTTCTGGAATTTGAACTTGCTACTGGAAGAGGGTTAAGTCCAGGACACACACACACACACACACACACACACACATTTCAGTGGGGGGCAAGCCATAGTTGGTTATGTTAGCACCTCATTATACAACAGTTTCAAGATAAAGTGATTCCAGATGTGCTCTCAGTAAGTACCTAGTACTTATGTTTTTAACCCATTAGGCTAAAAATCTACTTTCAGAATTTTGGGGAAGCCAGAGTTAGTTAATTAACTAGTCATTCCTAGTTACTTCATAAAGTTGATTCTAAGTCGACTATAATTTGCAGTATGTTTCATGTTAGAGGATACCCATTATAACCATATGAAACATACATATTTATAGACACATATATGTATTTTCACACAGACTTGCCTTTGACAATGATTAGAAGTTCATCTGAAGTACTGGTTTAATGATCATTAGGTTCCTTTGTCCCGGAAATTTCATTTAGAAACATTAGGAAGATATATATCTAAGAAGTAGTATTCTAGTTTCTTCTTATTAATGAAGCTGCAGTGATAGTCATTGTGATTCTGAAGCATAAATTTCATGAGTAAGTCCTGGTTAAAAGGCTCCCTCCCTTGTTTAAAAAACCAAGATTTGAAATTTTTTGCTTTGTAACTTAAATTTACAAAAAAGAGTTAAAGAGAAAAGATGATGAATGTTTTCCTTGATAATTCATATTATTGTTAGGAATATGGAATTTTTGCATCACTTGGCCCTAGAAGGTGGAGAGCTAAAGGTGAACATTTCATTTTGCTTTCAAATATTTTAAATTTGTCTGCAGAAATTATGTTTTCTGCTGAATACAATGGAAGCCTTCTTAGCTGGTCTTACTTGAGAATATTGCATCTTAGTATGCTCTTTTGATTTTATTTTGCTCTACAGTAAATTTTTAAAAATTTAGGTATGATATCTGGCATCAAGGACAACACCATTTATTTGCCAAAGGCTGTAACCTAGGGCATTATACACTAAATGGGAATATTGGCAAACATACTGTTCAGAGGTACCTGTTGTGCTGTAGGGCAGTACCTACAGCAAAGCAGTCTGGGTATGATGGACTCTGGATCCAGACTGTTTGGTTTCATTTCGCTTCTGCTTTTTACTAGCTGTGTGCTTTAATTTCATGAATGTGAAAGATAAATAATAACTCATGAAGATTTAGTTAAGTCTGAACTTGTAAAGGAAGCACTTAGAACCATGCCTGGCATATGTTAAGTACTTCTCAAGTGTTAGCTTAAACAAACAAACAAATCTCAAATTTTGTCTTTGTCATGTCAGAGAGGCTAACATCAAGTGATGGCTGAAGCAGCAAACAGCTAGTTAAATTTAAAAGAAAAATGATCTTTGGGATTAATCCTATCTTGTGAAAAGTTTTCTAGAGCTTCCATCCAGCTGTGGCTAAAGCTAGAGGACAAGAAGGTGAGGAAAGTGTGGCAGAGTGAATGCCATTGATTAAAGAAAGGCCAGGACCTTGCTGTATAACAATTGTTTCTATTATTTCTATTTTGAGAGAAAGACCCTTGATGTTACCCGTCAGCAGGAGATGGATGGTAGTCTTTGTGTGGATTGACAAACATTGGTAGTTTAACAATGTGAAGGGCTTCCTTTGCAGGAAATGAAAAAGTTGTGATTTTCCATAAGTCATTTAGAGAGTCACTATTGAGCCAGCCAGGCTGGGCCCGCTAGTCTATACAATGGTTTTGTGACAATTAGCCTTGTGCTGTTGCAGCATTTCAGACTCATGGAGCGTTTTGCTTAGAAGACCTCTCTTCCTTCTGGCTGACACAGCCCCATCCCAGGGTGCAGGGCCTGATAAGTGGAGTACAGGCTGGATTTCAGCCCTAACCACCCGCTCCCCCCAGGACATGGTACAGTACACAAATGGCACATTGAAGGTGGTAGCCATGAAGACAGGTTTTTGAATTTTACTTTCTGTTCTTCAGCTCAGGAAATATGTTGTTTATTTTTGTTTTTCAGTCATAGTCTACTTCAATAGCTGGAACTGGGGAAGAGATGGTTCAGTATTTTTTGTCATTGAATCCAATGGTTGATTGTTAATTATTACTTAAGATAATCCACAAACATCCTGCTGACAGTCCAAGACTGTTTTCTATCAGAGGTTTTATGAAGCCACTTAATTTAGGGTTAAGGTCCTGCTGAACCTTACAGGAGTCTAAAAGCAAGGAGAAAGGCATCAGAATATCACACCCTTTTAGCTATAAATCATATTTCTGTAATGCTGTTGCTACTTTTTTTCTATGTGCTCTTGCAATTTAAGATGATGCATTTTATTTCCAATGGTTTGCAATCTGTAACTGAAAGACAGAATGCTCGGAAAAGCCTCTGGCTAAAAACCAGTCTATTGACATAGAATCATGTCAGGAGTGGCCCCAGGAGATTTGTGGGTTTTGGCCTGTCTTGTTTCTCATCCAATATTTCTTTTCAGTATTATCACAGTTAAATTCCTCATTGGATATGCAATAGATTAAAATCACATTAAAGTTTGGACTTAAATCAAGCATAGCAAAAAATGATTCTTTGACATTAGCTCCCAAGATTCTTCTATTATGGTTTCAGTGGTCCTGAACTTTGGAAGATGCTGATCAGGTAATAACTGTTCTGTGCCCTACAAGGAGGATGCCACCTGTAAAAAGGCACTGAGAAGTTTTATTGTCTCAAATATATTTATTCTGATTCTTAAGAAAACTTGAAATAACTTGTGTTGTTTTGTTCTTATTTATTTTTGTTTAGAAATCTTTAATTTTCCTTTCCCTGCCCTGAGTCTTTCCCATTCTGAAATGAGTACAAACTGCTTTTTAGCTCACACATAGGCTCTAGAAACAGTTATTTCGATTATTAAATTTTTATCTGACAGTAAGTAACATGCACTTAATACATTATAGTTTATAAAGTACTTTTTCGAATGCATTACACATTTAATATCATGATGTTTTGAGATGGACATTAAAATTTTCTCCTTTTCTGCAACCTGGGAAACTAAAGCTCAGAGATCCGCATACTGTGCTACCCAAAGAATATAGGAAGAGAACCCGACTTTTTACCTTTTATTGATTAAAAAATGAGACGTGTCCTCACAATTTCCATGTGATTAACCAGTCCTAAAATTATAAGACATCCTTTCCTCACTTAATTACATGTAGTGTTGTTGCGGGACTTTTCCTTAGTTCAGCTGAAGATGGGGTTCTTGTCACAGGGCATTGAAAATTTAGGCTCGCAGACAATTTAAAGGGTGACTAAGGCAGGGTTTTATTGGGTGAAAAGGAAGACAAGGGGAAAGGGAGACTATCAGCAAGGCGAAAGAGTGTGCTTCTTGCCCCTGGGCTTCCTGCCTTGCAGATTGAATCCCAGGTTTCACCCAGAAAGAGGAGGGGCCAGGCTCCTCCCTGCAGACTTCTGTGGCTCCACCCCAGTGTGCAGGCCTGTAGGGGTTTTGCCGAGTAGCCTTTCCCACGTGACTGTCTCAGTGTAGTACATGTGATGTGGCCTAAATTGGGAAATACCTAAATTAGTAGCTACCTGTGAATTTGTCCTAACTTAGAGAATCTTTTGAAATGACTTAAAATTCTTTGGGTTTTCAGCTCAGACCACACACACACACACACACACACACACACACACACACACACGAATTAACAACCCTCAAGCAAAATTAATGGTAGTGCATCTGCAGCTTTTCAAAGTAATTGGAGAACCTTGAACCCCAGCTAATTTGACATTTTCACCTTTTCTAACTTTTTTTCAGAGTGTGTTGACATTCAGGTCAATTTTGAGCTGCTTTTAAGAGTACCCAGTGCCTAGTATAGTATAGGCATTTAATGCCTTTCAAATAAATGACTGAATTGTTCACTATATGGGCAAATGACAATTTGTAAATAATATCCCTAAATGCAGAGTACCTAAATGCAATACAAATAGTAGTCACATTATGTTTATTGTTTTAAACTAGAAGGTTTTGGCGTAGTCTGAAATGATATTATAGAAGGAGCAAGAACTTTGGAATCTGAAAAGATCTAGAATTGAATCTTTACCTTAACATTTACTGCTGGTTACTACACCTTCCTTAGGCATTCCACACAACTTCTCTGATCTTCAGTGTCTTCACCTGTAAATTTGGGATTATATTATCTACCTTACAACATCTCTGGGAGGACCATCTAAATTAATATATGCAAGGTACCCTGCACAATGCTTAATTCATAAAATGTGCTCAAAGTTCATGCATTTTTAGAATTTGTGTATACAACTTTGTAGCCAATTAACAGAGCCCCCAAGTAACAGATTGTGTGTTTTCTGATTAACCTTTGTATATAAAAATCCAGCTGTATAATCTGTAGTATAAAAGACCCATGGTGATAGTAGCAGTTCAACATGCCTGTTCTAAACTCTATACAAAGAGTAAAGGGCCAAAAATAGTTAAGATAATTTTGAAGAAGACCAAGGTACAGGTTTTTACATTAATAGATCTCAAGACTTATTATGAAGCCATAGTAATCAAGGAAGGGCAGTGATGGCAAAGGCATAGACATATATGCTGATGGGACAGAAAGGACAGTTAGGAAACAGACCCACACACAGATGGAAACTTGTTATATATAAGAAGTAATATAGAAGAAGAGTTTGATGATTCAGTAATGGATTCTGGTACAACTAGTTATCCATATGGGAAAAAGTAAAATTATATCCCTATATCATGCCTTGTACAAAAATTAATCACAGGTAGGTTGAAGACCTAAATGTGAAAAGTATAATTTTTAAACATCTGAAAGGAAATCTTGTATCACCTTTGAATACCTAAGAATTTCTTAAACAATGTACAAAAACATAAACATTAAAGAAAAAGATGGATAAACTTGACTGTGTTAAAATTAGAAATTTCTGATGTTAAACAATACCTAAAGAAGTGAAAAGTGAGAAAGAGATTTAAACATATAAAAAATTTTATACACACTGTGTATAAAGAACCCCTATAAATCAATGAGGAAAAGACAACCCAATAGAAAAATGGGTAAAGGATATAAACAGGCAGTGGACAGAAAAGAAAACCTGAATGGCCAATAACCATAAACATAGTGATCAGGGAAACACAAAATTAAAACCACCAGAAAGTAGGATTTTACATTCCCCAGAGATCAAGTATTGGTGAGGATGTAGAGCAAATAAATTTTATGCACTGCTCATGGGAGAATTTCACTGACATCACCACTTTGGAAAACAATTTAACAAAATCTAGTACAGTTGAAGATGAGCCTATTGTATCATCTGCACCTCTACTGCTGGATCTAGTCCCTACAGAAAGTCTCCCAGTACCTGCCACGGTTCCTAGTGCCAAGTAAGAGCTCAGTAAATAGATGTTAAAAGAAGGAAGAAAGGATGGAAGGAAGGGAGAAAGGATGATAGCAAGGAGAGAAGGAAGGAAGGAGGGAAGTAAGGAAGAAGGGAGGAAGGAAGGATAGATATAAGAATATTTGTGTCATTGACTTCTTTTTGCTTTGTTTTGGGTGTTGTGGGACTGCTGCTTTCTTGTCTGTATGGTCTCAAACCACCCTAAAGGTTTGTCAACTCCAGTGGAACTTTGGGAATCTCAGACGATTCACCTCTACCTCTCAGATTTTACTATGAATGGCAGTAAGGATTTTCATAACCGATAAATACATTCTGTAAATGCATTTCCTTACAGAATTCACAATGGTACTTCTTTAAATGGTAAGCTCTGATTGCATATTTGAAGTGAATCTATGTAAGGTGTAAAATGAGATGTACTAGTATATTATGGGTAGCATAAAATATTAGTTATTACTGGATCTTTAAAATTCTATTGGCAAAGAAAGATGAGGACTGATGCCCTGAAAAGATAAAATATTATGTTTTTTTCAGGCATATGAGTAATCAAAAAGCATTTCACTGGTTTGTGAAGAAATGGGTATTCTTTTTAAATAGTAAATAGTCATATGCACTAAGCCAATTTTTAAAATAACATATATTCCCTAGAGCATAGAAAACATGGCAGCTCTTCCCATAGCTGGAAGAATGTGTGGTTACCCTGGCAACACCATTTTAGTTCCTGCTTCCAAGTACCACCTGGTGATTTAAAGTCTTAACAGCTGTGCAGCATCTACATTTCCATTGAGGAAATAAAACGCATTCATGCATCATCTAATGCAGAATTTAAGAAGAAACGAGCTTGCAAATTTGGGGAAGGAGGGAAAGAAATAGCACACATGCCAGCAAAGCCGACTGAGGTTTAAAAACCCTAGCTGCAGTCTTGGAAGTATTCCTGAAGCAGCTAAGTCCACTGCATTAAGGATATGGGATTATAGGCCGATTTCCCATCAGAACTCTAATGTACACATAGTCTCAGTAGCCTATGAACATTTTGTTATCCCATACGCAAAATATGTATTTGTAAGTGGAAATTGGCACTCTCCATCCTAACAGGCATTTTAACAAAATGGTTGTGTCCCCATCACTGTGAGAGGTAGAGAAATATAAAGAAAACAGTGTCCTCAGCTTCATGTTTGTTTCTCAGTGCTTCTAATTTCACCCAAAGTTTTGGGACCTTCCTTAGATCTAGTCATATTGAAAAAGCCAGATCCTTCAATAATTTCCAGTAGAATGAGTTTTTAGGTACTTGAGTGCTGTGGGGAGGAATGACATTGCTGGGCTGTAAGGAGGACAAGGGGCTAGGAAATAGTTTTCCTCTCACAAAATAGAAACTAGGAATAAGCAGTTTAAGGTATATAAAATTATTACTTTCCATTTTTCTCTTTGATTATTGTGATTTATATGTATATTATTAAAAGTTTAGAATAGAAGAAATATATAAACAGGAAAATCACTGAAGATGCTGACATTAATATATTGGGAAATTTCTTTTTTTTTTTTCTTTTTTGAGATGGTATTTCGCTCTTGTTGCCCAGGCTGGTGTGCAATGGCATGATCTCAGCTCACTGCAACCTCCGCCTCCTGGGTTCAAGCGATTCTCCTGCCTCAGCCTCCTGAGTAGCTGGGATTACAGGCAGGCGCCACCATGCCCGGCTAATTTTGTATTTTTAGTAGAGACGGGGTTTCTCCATGTTGGTCAGGTGGGTCTTGAACTCCCGATCTCAGGTGATCCACCCGCCTCAGCTTCCCAAAGTGCTGGGATTACAGGTGTGAGACCCCTGGGAAATTTCCTTTAATCTTGTTTATGTATTTTTTTCACCTTTATGCATTTTAAAGGAGCTACTCAAGTTATCTGTCCACATCACAATTGATTTTCTGCAGTACAAATGGTCTTTACTGCTTGAAAGGAGTACTTTAATTCTGGTATGGCATTTTGTTTTTCCTTGTGTTTTTTTCTTATTCCAGTGGCTTCATGTTCTTTTCTGTTTTCATTTTAGCCTATTCGTTTTTGAATTTTTTTCATCTTCATAGAAATGTGTTTTCATACATCTCTGTTTAGGGCACCAAACAGATGTTACTTAAAAGTTTCTATGGTATTGTAGAATCTTTTCAGAGATACTGTGGCGGCTGTGTCCTACCTTACCCTGGGACAGGGAGCGGTCTTTCCAGCCTAATATAAATAGGGTGTACAGAATGTCCCTAGCACTGTCCACTTGTATTCTGAGAACTTCGCCTTCTCTGAAGCAAACATTGAAGGCTGGTTACGTGCCCATACTCTGTTCAGTTTCCAGGACTTAGGATTCCTTCCCTAGATCGCTCCATAAATACTTGACTTCCTACTATGTGCCAGATAGTGTTATAGGTGCTGCCAATATGGCAGTGAACAAACCCAGCTTATATAAAATAAGTAAACCTGTGATTATATAACATAGATTATAATATGAAGCTCCTGGAAAGGGACATAGGAGGGAGTCTAGGGAGGCAATTAATTAATTAATTAATTAATTTTTATTTATTTTTGAGATGGAGCCTCGCTCTGTTGCCAGGCTGGAGTGCAGTGGCGTGATCTCGGCTCACTGCAACCTCCGCCTCCCAGGTTCAAGTGATTCTCCTGCCTTAGCCTCCCAAGTAGCTGGGATTACAGGCATGCACCACCATGCCCAGCTAATTTTCATATTTTTAGTAGAGATGGGGTTTCACCATGTTGGCCAGGATGGTCCCGATCTCTTGACCTCGTGATCCACCCACCTTGGCCTCCCAAAATAGGAGGCGGTTATTTTATATGGACATTAGGGAAAGACCCACAGGCTGATAAGGTCATATTTGAGCTAATAGAATTGAGGGAATGAGTTCTGTAGTTATCTAGAGTAAGAGAATTCCTAGAAAAGAAATCAAAGAAAGCCTTTTGAGCCATTCTAAGGCTTTGGTTTTTATTTAGAGTGAGATGGGACACCATTTTGGGGTTCTGAACAGAGTGATGGCCTAGATGCCGAGTGCTTTAAGAAAGAGGGAGTGCTAACTCATTTTATGAGGCCAGCATCATCCTGATACCAAAGCCTGGCAGACATACAACAAAAAAAGAGAATTTTAGACCAGTATCCCTGATGAACATCGATGTAAAAATCTTCAATAAAATACTGGCAAACCGAATCCGGCAGCACATCAAAAAGCTTCCCCACCACGATCAAGTTGGCTTCATCCCTGGGATGCAAGGCTGGTTCAACATACGCAAATCAATAAATGTAATCCATCATATAAACAGAACCAAAGACAAAAACCACATGATTATCTCAATAGATGCAGAAAAGGCCTTCGACAAAATTCAGCAGTCCTTCATGCTAAAAACTCACAAGAAACTAGGTATTGATGGGACGTATCTCAAAATAATAAGAGCTTTTTGTGACAAACCCACAGCCAATATCATACTGAATGGGCAAAAACTGGAAGCATTCCCTTTGAAAACTGGCACAAGACAGGGATGCCGTCTCTCACCCCTCCTATTCAACATAGTGTTGGAAGTTCTGGCCAGGGCAATTAAGCAGGAGAAAGAAATAAAGGGTATTCAGTTAGGAAAAGAGGAAGTCAAATTGTCCCTGTTTGCAGATGACATGATTGTATATTTAGAAAACCCCATCGTCTAAGCCCAAAATCTCCTTAAGCTGGTAAGCAACTTCAGCAAAGTCTCAGGATACAAAATCAATATGCAAAAATCACAAGCATTCCTATACACCAGTAACAGACAAACAGAGAACCGAATCATGAGTGAACTCCCATTCACAATTGCTTCAAAGAGAATAAAATACCTAATAATCCAACTTACAAGGGATGGAAGGACCTCTTCAAGGAGAACTACAAACCACTGCTCAAGGAAATGAAAGAGGACACAAACAAATGGAAGAACATTCCATGCTCATGGATAGGAAGAATCAATATCATGAAAATGGCCATACTGCCCAAGGTAATTTATAGATTCAATGCCATCCCCATCAAGCTACCAATGACATTCTTCACAGAACTGGAAAACAATTCTTTAAAGTTCATATGGAATCAAAAAAGAGCCCACATTGCCAAGACAATCCCTAAGCCAAAAGAACAAAGCTGGAGCCATCACGCTACCTGACTTCAAACTATGCTACAAGGCTGCAGTAACCAAAACAGCATGGTACTGGTACCAAAACAGACATACAGACCAATGGAACAGAATAGAGCCCTCAGAAATAATACCACACATCTACAACCATCTGATCTTTGACAAACCTGACAAAAGCAAGAAATGGGGAAAGGATTCCCTATTTAATAAATGGTTCTGGGAACACTGGCTAGCCATATGTTGAAAGCTGAAACTGGATCCCTTCCATACAGCTTATACAAAAATTAATTCAACATGGATTAAAGACTGAAATGTTAGACCTAAAACCATAAAAACCCTAGAAGAAAACCTGGGCAATACCATTCAGGACATAGGCATGGGCAAGGACTTCATGACTAAAACAGCAAAAGGAATGGCAACAAAAGCCAAAATTGATAAATGGGATCTAATTCAACTAAAGAGCTTCTGCACAGCAAAAGAAACTACCATCAGAGTGAATAGGCAACCTACAGAATGGGAGAAAATTTTTGGAATCTACTCATCTGACAAAGGGCTCATATACAGAATCTACAAAGAACTTAAACAAATTTACAAAAAAAAAAACCCATCAAAAAGT